>NC_000012.12:68520734-68672249 GCF_000001405.40 Homo sapiens | reverse complement strand
TCTGCTGCAAAAAGGGCATTTGGGAAATCTGTGCTTCAGAATCCATCCTGCCTACCTATTTGCAACTTTAAATGATTGAGTTTAACTTTTAGGAAACCCAACATCCTAGAGAAGTCTTTCTGCTTCTTTGTCCTTCACAAGATCAACTGAAGTTCTCTAGCTGTGTAAAAAGGCTGAATTTCAGGTAATGAAAGAAAGTTAAACTGCTTTGGTTTTTTGAATTATTTTCTTGTTTAAATATAAGGTTTAAGTATAATGACAATTATTTTTAAATTTCTAAAATTAATTTTACTCAAAGATAGCATAACAATGTTAAGGAAAAGGAAATAATAATACAGTCATCCATGATACTGTTGCCAGCACCATAATTTTTATTAATGCATATTATCCTCCCATGTATTTTACATTCATATTTTACATATAATGATGACATTCATATAGCTTTTTTTTTTATATTCCAGAAAATGTTATTTACTTGTTACTGACAATGTCTCTTCTAGACGAGTCATCCTGTTTTTTCTCCCGCTGTTGTACTTTTGCTTTTCTTTTTCCACCTACTCAGATCCTTCACTTCCTCACCCCTACTCCTATATCACCATGTCAGGTAATGCATATTAACAACTTGGTAAATATCCTTCAGTTGCTTTCTTCATCTCCTTTCCCAGGTGCCCACATGCATCCCTCACATACATCCTTCTCGGTATTCTGTTTTGTTCACTTTGCACGGGAATCCTTCTAAGTCAACCTTTAAACATCAAACTCATTTTTAAATGAATGCATAATGTTCTATATTATGCATGAATCATAATTTATTCAACTATTCTATTGATGGGCATGCACTCTGTTTTTCCTTCTAGAGTGTGGCAATAAATAATCTTGTGCATTTCCTTTCATTTCCTTGGTGTAGATATCAGTAGTAGAATTGAGGTCAAATATGCATATTTAATTTGAACAGATATCAGCTCTACAATGCACATTTCCATCAGCAATAAATGATTCATTTCTTGCCCTTTACCTCTCTTCTGGGACTGTAGTGTTCTCTGAAGTTTTCGTCCATGTGTTGGGCTCGTTGGTACTTTGATTCGTATTTCTCTGGCTACAGTTAGAGCATCTTTTTATGTTGATGGGCCATTTGGATTTGTTCTTATCTAAACTGCCTAGTTATATATCTTTCAACCATTTATCTTTTGAATAGTTTACCTTTTTTTTTTTTTTTTTTTTTAAACGGAGTATCACTCTTGTTGCCCAGGCTGGAGTGCAATGGCACCATCTTGGCTCACTGCAACTTTCGCCTCCTAGGTTCAAGCAATTCTCCTGCCTCAGCCTCCTGAGTAGCTAGGATTACAGGCATGCACCACCACACCCAGCTAATTTTGTATTTTTAGTAGAGATGGGGTTTCTCCACGTTGGCCAGGCTAGTCTCAAACTCCTGACCTCAGGTGATCCACCCGCCTCGGCCTCCCAAAGTGTTGGGATTACAGGCATGATCCACCGTGCCTGGCCGTGAATAGTTTAATCTTTTATCTGTGCTATACTTTCCCAAATTTGACTTTGCAATATATTTTGCCAAATTTTAAATTTATATATACAGTCTGTGACTTACAGTTTTACTTATAATTTTTCAGCTTTGTGATGGATTTATCAGGGTATTAAATGCATTTTCGACTTACATTTTTGACTTCTGATGGGCTTATTGGGACATAACCCCATTGTAAGCTGAGAAGCATCTGTGTGTACACACACACACACTTATTATTTACTTGAAATATATATCTTAAATATAGCTTCATTTTTAAAAATTAGCTAAGAAGGTCTACCCTATCTCTAGATTTCTAGTCTCTTAGATTTTCTTCTAAGACTTCTACTGTTTTACTTTATAGCTTGAAAACATTTTAATATATCTGGAAAGTGCTTTTTGCATGATATAGGGGTTGAACTTTTATTGTCTTTAGACAGATAGTTAGTTGTGCTAGCATTTTACTGATACTATTTTCTATTGAAATATATTTTTGTCGGCCGGGCACAGTGGCTCACACCTGTAATCCCAGTACTTTGGGAGGCTGAGGCGGGCAGATGACCTGAGGTTGGGAGTTCGCAACTAGCCTGACCAACATGGAGAAACCCCATCTCTACTAAAATACAAAATTAGCCCAGGCGTGGTGGCACATGCCTGTAATCCCAGCTACTCGGGAGGCTGAGGCAGGAGAATCACTTGAACCTGGGAGGCGGAGGTTGTGGTGAACCAAGATCGTGCCATTATACTCCAGTCTGGGCAACAAGAGGGAAACTGTCTCAAAAAAAAAAAAAAAAAAAAGAAAGAAAAAGAAATATATTTTTGTCACGTATAAACGTCATATACTGGAATCTAGTTCTGGACTCAGTTCTACTCTACTCTTTCACTTGAACTTTAAGATCATTTTGCTTAATTTCTTTTCTTTTTTCTTTTTCTTGAGATAGAGATTTGCTCTGTCACCCAGGCTGGAGTGCAGTGGTACAATCTCAGCTACTGCACCCTCTGCCTCCTGGGTTCAAGCGATTCTCCTGCCTCAGCCTCCAGAGTAGCTGGGATTACAGGCACCTGCCACCATGCCTGGCTAATTTTTGTATTTTTAGTAGAGACGGGGTTTCACCATGTTAGCCAGGATGGTCTCCATCTCCTGACCTCGTGATCCGCCCCCCTCGGCCTCCGAAAGTGCTGGGATTACAGGTGTGAGCCACCGTGCCCGGCCCATTTTGCTTAATTTCAATTTCAAAACCTCACCCAAGTCTGGCACGGTGGCTCATGCCTATAATCCACTTTGGGAGGCCAAGGTGTGACACTTGCTTGAGCCCAGGAGTTCAAGACCAACATCCAGTCTATTAAAAAATCAAAAACAAAAACAAAGCCTCAGCCAGTTGAAATTTAAATTGTAATCATTATACATTAACATGCTAATTTGGGGGAATTGATATTTTTATGATATTATCTTCCCAGTGTATTTGTTCAGATCTTGATTTATGTCCTTCAATAAGAGTTTATAATAGTTCTTTCTTAGCCTTATACCTTAAGGCATTTAGTTTTTATCTGTCGTGTTTACTATATCAACTTGTAGGTATTTTTTATAAATATAAAGAAAAGCTATTGATTTTTGGCATGCTTATCTTATATCCAGCCAAGTTCCTGAATACTTCTAATAGATTTTTTTGAGCTTTCAAGGTATTCACTTATAATACAAGCAAAAGTAATTTTATTTTCCAGTGTCTATATTTAACATTTCATTCTTTTGATATAATGCATTCATTAGCTCTATTAGGAGACTCAGCCCCTATTTCATAGCATTGCTGAGGGTTGAACAACACATGTAAAGTGCTTAGAGCAATGGTGGCACATCTTAGGGTGTCCAAGAAATAACTAGTATTATTTCCCAACTATCAGAGCTTATCAGATCTTTAATCTAGAAATGTCACTTTCAAGCAGTATCAAGCCAAATAACTGAATAAGTAAGCTATCATTTGCTGGTTTTTCTTATTCTTTCATCATTCCTCATTTTAAATGAATTTGAGGCGCCTACCTGACAGCTTTCTTAAACTTCTATTTGTGATTCATAGGACGGCAGAAAAGAAGAGCCAAGAAAGTCTGTGCAGGGATGATTTCAGATTGTTAACGTTATTTCTCTTTGGAAAAGAAGTTAATGTCAAACTAGATTTAAGTTTAGACATTAAATCTGTTTTGGTTTAACTCATGAAGAGTTTATTTTGTGCAGGTCAGGGAGACCTGGTCACAAAAAATCTTTTGCTTACTAGAATTTGTAACTTTTCTTTTTCAAAGTGAGATAAAGCAGTCGAGCCAATTGTGACAAATTTCACTTGCTCCTCTGAGTGAGTTTTAGTAGTAACTGGGCTAAGAAAAAAACCCCTTCCTTATTATAATAGTCTTAGGGAGATCAACACTGTGCAACTGGCTCCTCTGATACAGTATGGAGGTAGGTAGTGGCACTGTAAAATGTCTTAACTTGCCAGGGCTAACCTGGTTGGCATTCTGTATCCATCCTGTTTGGATGACATACTGAGACCTATCCTCTTTACTCTCCCTTGAACAAAAGCCTTGACGGGGGGCCTAGGGCAACCAAGTCATTAATTCTGCATATGTCATTAACTACATCCTGCCAAGGAGAGAATGCCCTGACCATGAGAATATCCTGTACTGGTTCAGAGTGGAAGGATGGGGGAGGGGTAGTGGATGCCACTTCTTTCTTTGGTGACATCCTCTGTGAAAGCATTGGTGGAATAAAATTAGTGGTATGATAGTGGCCAATGATGTCCTCTTATTTCTGAAAAATTAAGAGCTAGCTGTTAGCTGTTTGCTAAATAGTAATTACCAGATAGTTCAGCTTCTGCAAAGAGCCCAAGATGTATTTCAGGAAGTATTATTGCTTTTTATTCTAACAAAATAGACTTATAAATCTCCCGTTGAAATCCTGTATGATCCAAGGCATGAAGTCATGCTTTACTAAAGTTGGAAAATGCAAAGGAATGAGTAAGTGAAGTGAGAACTTTTTCCACAACAGCTCTTATAGAGAATGACTGAATTGACTTCTGGGAACTGTAAGTTTGTATCTTAAACATGTAAAGCACACAAATGGTTACAATTTCCTTATACCATTACTTGAAATAATAAATGGATAAAAAGGCTATCTGGAGAAGCCCAAATTCATTTTTGAGAAGTGATTACAGAGACAAGAAACCCAACCCTAACGCTGAATGTACTAACACATATAAAAACCCCAAAACCCACTGGGTTGAATTAATCTCTAACTTCCTCAAATGTTCAGTGTACTTCATTCCAACCAGATGAGTTTTTATCATTTAATTCTGGGCCTGTCCATTCCTTCCATTTCTTTTTTTCATGTACCTCTAGATATTACACTCCTCCCATTTCTTAAAAAACAAAAACAAAATAACCAAGCAGTAAATAAAACATTGAATTCAGTGCAGAAGCAAAATCTTATAAACACCACCATTTGGTCTCAGAAACACTAATTTTCTCTCATATGAATCACATATGTCTGATTAAAGGTGGGATGCGTGAGATGAAGAGAAAACCCTCTGGATATGTCTGAAAATGAAAAAGAAAAGTTTGTTATATTACTATTAGATCTAAGTAAAAGGGGGGAAGTTTCTGTCATCATTGATAAATATAAAATATGTAGGGTAGGCAGGATATATACTGACACAAGTAGAAGGTAATTCTGTGGGATGACAATGGTTAACAATATTCCATACCCAGTATGTTGCTTCTGGAACTGTAGAACTAGTCCATACTAAACCTCTGATGGACTCATTAAAGTCTCACCTAATCCCAGACTTCCCTCAGAATCCTTGTAGAGTAGCTTAATTCTGGGGCTTTCCTAGGTGCTCAGGATCTCTCTAGGGAGACCTGAGGGTCTGCTGATTCAGTTCAGAATGTTTTGAGTTATCTTGGAGCAGACCCATACTAGTCTTTGGTACTGAAAAATTGTTAAAATGTTTTGGTAGGTTGTTAATGGCTCCCAAAGGCATGTCCACATCCCAACCCCCAAACTTCTGTCTGTTAACTTTATTTGAAAAAAGTGTCTTTGCAGATGTGATTAAGCATTTTGAGATGAGATTATCCTGAAGTATGTGGGTAAGCCCTAAATGTCAAAACAATTGTCCTTTTAAAAGAAAGATTATAGAGAGGAGGAGATACAAAGATAGAGGCACATGTGATGTGGCATAATGCCATGGGAACAGGTTCTCTCCGAGAGCCTCTAGGAGTACATCCTAACACTTTGATTTTGGACTTCGACCTTCAGAACTGTGAAAGAGTACATTTCTGTTGCTTTAAGCCACCAAATTTGTGATAATTTGTTACAGCAGCCCTAGGAAACTAATATATACTTTTAAACTAGGACACTAACTTTTTTTTAGAAAACAATAGAAATAGATCAACATACGAGAATCCAATTAAAAAGAAGAATTTTCTCCCTAATATTTTGGGTAAAGCACCAAAATACCACTTACGAAAATTGAGAGAAAATAAAGTTTACATTACTGGGGAAGTAGAGAAATACTGCAAAGGCATATATTTGAAAGACAACTTGCCGGGCGCAGTGGCTCATGCCAGTAATCCCAGCACTTTGGGAGGCTGAAGCAGATGGATCACGAGGTCAGGAGTTCAAGACCAGCCTGGCCAAGATGGCGAAACCCCGTCTCTACTAAAAATAGAAAAATTAGCAGGGCTTGGTGGCAGATGCCTGTAATCCCAGCTGCTCGGGAGGCTGAGGCAGAGAACTGCTTGAACCTGGGAGGCGGAGGTTGCAGTGAGCCGAGATCGCGCCACTGCACACCAGCCTGGGTGACAGAGCCAGACTCTCTCAAAAAAAAAAAAAAAGATGTCTTGTTACAGCTGAATTTAAATATAAGTTTGCCAATACTGACTCTGAAACAGACTTTATAGTTGCTGCAGATATACATAGACCTGGTACTAATTAGAGGATGGTATTTCCAAAAACTATCCCATCATCTCCTTACATTTGTAGCAAATTCACCACCAAGTATATACAGAGAGATAAAAATAAGCATTTTAGAGCACAAAATTACTGCTGGTCTATAGCATACTAGAAGAGGAACAATAGTATTTTGCTCTTTGCCATAAAAGATGCTGTATTCTCAATTGCTGCTCAGCTATTTGCCTTGTTCTCTGCCCATGTCTTTGTAATAGCAATCCTTTGTACTCCAACCCTTCTCCCCATCCCAAGACTGTTTAGGCCAGGCTTTCCTTTTTATTACTATTTTTAACCCCAAGTAATTCTTACGAAAATAATTTCATTCACACTCATGGTTTCAGTTGCCTCCAATGTCAGTAACTCCAAGGTCCAACCCTTCAAATCTGACTGCACAGAAAATACATGTTCAAAGGTAGCTGACAAGCTGGCTGTGTTAATTCTGGCTCTACCATTACCCCTCTCTGGGTTATCTTTCACACAGCTGGCAAATCTGTTGCTTTAGTTATGTAACATTTACTATTAGTCTCATTTAGAACAGTAGAGGTCTCCCCATAACTACCTGCTGTACCATACCCATCCGATTCTATTCCATTTCCAGTAGGGAAAGATACTTTTGTCAAGTGACAGGGTCTCCCTATGTTATCCATGCTGGCCTCAAACCACCGGAGCTCAAGAGTTCCTCCTACCTCAGCCTCCCAAGCAGCTGGGATTACAGGCAAGCACCACCACACGCACTTATTTTTTTCTGCCAGCCACATAGTTTTTCATTATTGGTTGATTTGCTCAGGAAATCTGACATTGACCTGTTAATAGTCAACCAGATGTAATAGTTGGGAATATAAAGCAAACAGTCCATATATTTTACAAAATAACAATTTTTATTATGAGTCACTTGCTTTAGTATGGATAATGGAAGAAGAATCACCTATGGTTAGAAAAGTTATTAGATCTGATAGTTTATTTGACTGGTCTTTCCCATCATTGACTTGTTAAACACCTTGCCAGCAGAGACTGGATTTTTTTTTCTTTTTCTTTTTTTTGCAGTCTCACTCTGTTGCCCATGCTGAAGTGCAGTGGTGTGATCTCAGCTCACTGCAACCTCGGCCTCCCAGGTTCAAGTGATTCTCCTGCCTCAGCCTCCTGAGTAGCTGGGATTACAGGCACACACCACCGTGCCCGTCTAATTTTTGTTATTTTTAGTAGAGACGGGGTTTCACCATGTTGGCCAGGCTTGTCTCAAACTCCTGGCTTCCAGTGATCCACCCATCTCGGCCTCCCAAAGCATTGGGATTACAAGTGTGAGCCACCATGCCAGGCCAGACTGGATTATATCATTTACTCCTTCCTACTCCCCTCTGCTCCAAACCTACTGCACTGCACATTAAAGAGTTTGACAGTTAATAGAATTTCCTGTTCTGAAATTAGTGCTCACAGGGGACATAACTACCAGACATAAATAGAAATTTGAATGGGTAATAATGGCGGATGACAAAAACATTAGAGGCTTTTGATCTCTGCCTATTTAAAAACTGAAACCTGACTGAAGTGAATATATTATTACATAAAAATCCTGTAATATATGTGTGTGCTGTTTTGTTTTCAGGAAAAAACCCTGCATTTTGACCCAAATACTAAATTTGGATTGTCTCATTTATGTGGGTCTGTAAGGAAAGTCAGGTTAAACTAGGTTCATAGTAAAACAACATAGTAAAAACTGTCTTCGTACCCTTTTGGAGAAATGAGAAAAATTAGATTACCTATGAATAAAAAAATTTATATATATGAAAAATGACAGCTCACTTTTCTAAAATCATTACAATTTTCTCTTAGAAAGTTGGAAAGCTCTTAGAAAGTTTAACAGACTGTTACCAATAGAGCTTTGTTCATTTGCTGTGTGTTTTCCCCACGTGGGCAGAAAATCCCTGCTGTACCTCCGATATTGTAAACAGCGCCTGAAACACGGTAGAGAATACTGAATGCATTTATTGATTCTCAGATACAAAAATCAGGTAGATATGCCTAATTTTGGATAAAGCCTGTAATTCCTAAGGTCAGTAACCTACAGGCCACCAACAGGGATGTTTTAAGAAGCAAGTTTAAAATGTGTGTAACATGGAATACTTTTTTTAAAAAATGGCAGCATTTAGAATACAGACCTATTTAGCAATAAGCACTTTACTTTTACTTTTCAAAGATAAACTAATGTCAAGCCTATGGAATTAGTTGATTAATCTGTTTAGTAGTCTTGTTTCAACAGGTATCCCAACACAGACTCATCCATTTTCCTCCCAATAGTTAAGGAAACATATATAAAGTTTAGTTCTGTTCTCAATCTACCTCTCTTCTCTCATGTATTCTTGAAATATCAAATGTATTGATTAGGCTGGGTGCGGTGGCTCACACCTGTAATCCCAGCACTTTGGGAGGCTGACGCAGGCGGATCACCTGGGTCGGGAGTTCGAAACCAGCCTAACCAACATGGAGAAACCTCATCTCTACCAAAAAATACAAAATTAGCCAGGCGTGGTGGTGCATGCTTGTAATCCCAGCTATTCAGGAGGCTGAGGCAGAAGAATTGCTTGAACCTGGGAGGCAGAGGTTGGGGTGAGCCAAGATCGCACCACTGTACGCCAGCCTGGGCAACAAGAGCGAAACTCAGTCTCAAAAAAAAAAAAGAAAAAGAAAAAAAAAGAAAATTCAAATGTGTTGATGCACTGTAACAAATAGAACAGACTTATTTATCTTTTTTTTCTAAGACAGGGTCTCACTCTATTGCCATCGTGGGGGTGCAGTGGCGCGAACACAGTTCACTGTATCCTTGATCTCCTGGGATCAAGCAATCCTTCTGAATAGCTGGGACTACAGGTACAGACGTGCACCACCATGCCCAGCTAATTAAAAAAAAATTTTTTTTTGTAGAGATGGGGTCTATGTTGCCCAGGCTGTCAGATTTGTTTTGTTTGAAAAAAAAATTTTAGTCTTACAAATCACAATGTTAAGGCTCACTGACAGATTATGAGACAAGCCTGCAAGCACTTTTAAGGCTTCTAAGGTAATAGTAAGAGTATTAATTGTAAAACACTATAACTCCCTTTTACATTTCCAAGATTTAAGAAGAGATAGAATAGATGGAGATTAAATTCAATGAAAACACAGATAAGAGTTTAACTCAAAGAAAAGTTGTAGTGATGAGTTTCGATTCTAAGTTTGCTGTCCCACAACTAAAGACGGAATGATTTAAAAAAAAAAACGGCAAAACTTCATTTTATAAATGGAATTTTAAAAATTTCTATTTGTAATGCCCACATATGGTAAAGATGAGCTATTTACGTTTAAGAAACAACTGAATCAACAAGAAAGTCAATACAGGGTTTTTACACTTTTTAGAAAAATGTAAGTGAAAGACCACTCTGATTTTCTCCTAAAACTCAAGTTTCTTCAAGTATCCTTGGGGACGTGAAAAGGAATTCATGCCTTTTCTGACTCAATTATTTTAGTATTTTCCCATTAAGCACCAGAAAAGTCAATCTACATGAGTTGTGCTCCCAAACTGCAGTTACTATTTTGTATAGGAGAAAATGGTGCTTTTTGCCAAACCACAGCCTTATTCCTATCAGCATTGAAAAAAATAAATTATATATATAGTATTATATAGACCTCCACTGTACTACATATATATATATACTCTCTCTATATATGTACTATATATAATATATATATATATATATATATATAGACCTAGAGGATAGCACTGGCATTCATTTCACTCTCCTATGAAGTAGGTATTATCATTCTCATTTTACAGATGAGGAAACCAAGGCACCCAACCAAAGGCATATAGTAGGAACTGGAAGAGCTGGGATTAAAAACCCAGGAAGTCTGGCTCCAAACTTTATATTCTTATTCACTATATAGTAAACCATCCATCTTGTAACCCTAACACTCATCTGTAACTAATGTGTTGTTTCCCACCAGAGCAGTAGTTCTTCACCAGGGTGATTTTGCCCTCCAAGTTCACCTCCCTTGTCCCCCAACAATCCAACTGGGGAACATCTGGCAATGTCTGGAAACATTTTTGGTTGCCACAACTTGGGGGCTGGGGTGGTGTGACTGGCATCTAGTGGGCAGATATTAAAATTCCTATAATGCACAGGAGAGTCGCCAGAATACATTATCAAACATAAAACATCAATAGTGCTGAGGCTGAGAAACTCTTCAATAGAATATAAATTCTAGGAGGGCAGCATTTTATAGTTGATCTTGGTTGCTGCTACATCCTTAGGCCTAGAACAATTTTTATACTTAAGTACTTAATTTGTCCAATGAATGAATATTTAGCTGTTTGAGCCTAGAACTGGGCCTGGTACATAGCTGGTAGGCAGCAAACATTTATTAAAAGTAATTATTGAATAATGGCGGTATCAATGGATGTAACAGGACATAGTAAATTGAAGTAATTTTAGTGTTTCACAGTCCCAGTTTTTTGGGCTTAATTTTTTTCCCAAATGATTATAAATAAAACCAGTTCTGCCAAAACAAGTCCCTTTTGTAAAGAATCAGACTTTTTCTTAACATGAAAGCCTTTAAAAATGTATCATTCAAACAGCGTGTATTTAGGGGATTAGCAGATACCCCTCTATTAGATATTATCACTGATTAATTGCTCCAGTAGCTGGCAAATACTTTCAAAAAGTTTTTTAAGAGCTTTACAATTTTTAAAAAGTTTTAAAATAATTCTATAAGAATTCAGTTCTTACAGAATTCAATTATAGCATATTTAAGAAAAATATCGATTCTCTAAGTGCTTAATCCACATCACTCAAAGATTTTTATAACCACAATATTCTAACTTCAATCCTGTATTTTAAAAAATCCATAGTGTAACATCCATGAAAGTATGTTAAATCGTTCCTCTTTTACCTACCTCATCAAATAGCTACTGAACATTACCCAAAGGCATTTATTCGTAAGTAATACTGCTTGATTTACAAAATTATTTCTCAAGGAAAAGTTCAAAAGGTGGTTATGTGGATATTCAAACAATACCAGAAAACTCGCTACTTCCTTATTCCTGTAATTAATGAGTCTGGCTTGCCCAGATGTTAAATTATGAAACCATGCTGTGTAAAATGCACCTATTACAATTAAAACCAGGGTAAACCCGTATTTATTTACTAGCACTGTTAAAACATTACACAAAACACATTCAAGTGGCAAGTAATTATAATGCAAGCCCTTGCATGGCAATCCAAATTTATTGAACTACTGATGCTAAGTTATACAAAATTGCACCACTTTAATTAAGGCTTTTAGTTTACATTTGGCCACCTCAAAGTAGTTGTAACATTAGGTTGGTCAATTTAAATACTGTGGCTCCCTGTTGGATAGACACACAATCTTTACATCCAAACATTAATGCATACAAAGCAACAAGGCATTGTTAAATAAAACAGCAATAGTTACTGCAAATTAGGCCTTGTGACCAATTACATATGATTAAAATTACTTCCCACATTCACATCCACAGTACTCGTCCACCATTTAACATCTCAACCAAAACGTTACACATGTGAAACAATCACTAACAGGCAAAAATACTAAACCTGTATATTTGGTATTGCAAATACACTTATGCATGAGCAAGCAAGGGATTCACAGTGAGAATCTACAGCTGCAGAAGCCTGAAAATGATTTACAAAAATTGTTAAATCATTAAAAAATTGTTTGAAAATATACACTTCTTGTTGTAGACCCCCACTGTACACACGACTATAAACATTGTTCCCTATGTAAACAAAAAAAGGAAACATATAATAAGAGATTTGAAAAGTCTGGACATTTCCTTCCCAACAGATATTAAAGGCAACGTCTTTAATCTAAGACATTATACTGAAAGGACTATCATGTTTTAAAGACAAGATCACCGTCTCCACAGGTTTTTTAAAAATTAAAAAAACTATATAGCTGTGTTAATCAAAGCGCTTATTTTGTACAATAATAATGACCTTGAATTTCTTAAAAAAAATTACAATAAGCTACAAGTATCAAAGAAGCGAAGTTATCTGGAGTAGTCTATATAGGAGCTCTTTGGACTTTCTTTTATTATGCTAAAATAGTGGTGCTTTTAGGATTTACATTATTGTACTCTCCAATACAAAGTATGGGGCATGTTAAAGTATACAGTACACCATTTTCATACATGTACAACATTGGTGGATGAAGAATGTCTCTTAGCAGTAATACTGGATGTAGCCTCTGGTTTTACCAGCTGCAAACTCTAGGACTATTATATAAGTAAAAATCTCTCTTGTGATACTGGAAAGTGATTAGAATGTGCAAACTGATATAGTAGCTTTCATCCGCCTCTTAAAGGGTACCACCACAGGAAAGTCCATTTAAGATGTTGGTAGGTTTAACAAAGTTGGAATGCTGGCACTGTTGAATTGGGCAACAGTTCTTCAGACCTGTCAAAAGGAAAAAAATTAATTAAAAACATGGGCTAGAAAAAGTAAAGACCCAAAAGCAAACAGTTAAGAAAACAGTCTTAAAAGTGTTAGAAATGAATATAATCTAGGCTCTTGTTCTAGGCATTACATTAGTGGCAACATACCACAATTCACGGCAGACCTTTTCATTCCAAAAAGATGAAGTCTATTCTGCTGCCCTCTTGAAAGTCAGTTAAATGAAAATCTTAGGAACAGAAAGGGAAAGTACCTTTGTGCAAATTTTTGTGCATTACCTTCCAAGGATTAAAAAGGAAAAAAATCACATTAAAATTGTTAGTCAAGTCAACCTTATTAGAATTAGGATTGAAAAGTCAGATAGCAATATTAACAAACTGGGTGATCCTGTGTTTACACAATCGTAATGTACTCCTAGAATTAGATCATAAGTATAGAATGCACATCTAACCAAGGTTTCTAGTATCAGATAATCAAGTTCTTCCTCACTCTTTCAATGAAAGTGGCTAAAAAGCTCGTTCAGAGCAGACAAATAGAATTTATTTCATGATGGTGTTTTACAGATTTACAATCACGTTATATAATTTCTAATTCCATATTTAAACATTCTATTAAGACTGATGTCAGAAAAAGGTGGTATTACACTAAAATCACATGTAATTAAAGATTTTAAAAAGTAAACTTAGAATTGTTAAATATGTACTTTGAATAGTTTTCTGCATACATGCCTCGGCTAAAAAAATGTTCCCTATTATATTTTTCTGGTGATCAGACTTGTTACAAGCTCCAGAAGAGTTGTTAATACATATGTGGCTGTTGAAATAATTTTCACAAATGCCTAGAACTTTAGGTCCTCATTCTGAGTCTGAATGAGGTTTGCAATCAAGTTTTCTAAATCCTGGCAGACTGTTGCAAATTAAAAAGGACAGATGGAAGTGTGTGAGCTCAAGCACATGTGTGCTGCTAAGAATGGGCATGTGGTCAGGAATTATAGGATATTAGAATGAGAGGATATACCACTAAACAGAAAGCCCTAGATGGAAGGCAGGAATAAAAACTCTGAAAAGATGCAGAATCAAAGTGCTATGGCAGCACTGAGTCAATTAACATAGGAAGAAATAAGAGTCAGGAATGTCAAAGGTTCTTAAGAATAAATTAACAGTTTAACAATAAACAGTTTAATGACAGCTGAAGAGGAAACCATTATCATTGGCAAACAGCAGCAGCTAATAGTTGAGTGTTAACTATGTGCCAGGTACCGATGCAAGATCTGTGCAGCAAACCCCATGGTACACCTTTACCTATGTAACAAACCTGCACATCCTGCACATGTATCCTGGAACTTAAAAGTTGAAGGAAAAAAAAAAAAGTGGCACATGATGAACATGTCAGGGGTGTGTGTGTGTGTGTGACTGGCACATGATGAACATGTCAGGGGTGTGTGTGTGTGTGTGTGTTTTAAATTAGGGACGGTTGGCTGGGAGCGGTGGCTCACGCGCACGCGCGCACGTGTGTGTGTGTGTGTGTGTGTGTGTGTGTGTGTGTGTGTGTGTGTGTTTTAAATTAGGGACGGGGTTGGCTGGGAGTGGTGGCTCACGCCTGTAATCTCAGCACTTTGGGAGGCCGAGGTGGGCAGATCACGAGGTCAAGAGATTGAGACCATCCTGGCCAACAATGGTGAAACACCATCTCTACTAAAAATACAAAAAAACTAGCCGGGCGTGGTGGCACGTGCCTGTAATCCCAGCTACTCGGGAGGCTGAGGCAGAAGCATTGCTTGAACCTGGGAGGCGGAGGTTGCAGGGAGCTGATATTGCGCCACTGCACTCCAGCCTGGGTGACAGAGTGAAACTCCATCTCAAAAAAAGAATACTTATGTGAAATACTTTACTCATGATGATAAGTAAATAATTAATAAGATAGCATACTAACTCATGGATATCTTATAAAAATAAACCATTTATTTTTCAGAACCAACAAAAAGAAGTCTATACTTGCTTTCATGACAGAGTGCCCTTAATAAGGTTGAGTGATTAAAAGTTAGAGGAAAGATAAGTGAACATACCTGGCTCAGAGCTACAATGCATTTAGTATATTAAAGCAGCTGACATGATGACTTTTTGCGAGCCTTCCCAGGCACTGGAGTTTTTCTGTTAATTTGCCGCACTAGGTCATAAAAGATCTGCAAATACAATAATTTGTTTTAATTTACAGGAGGAACACCTATCCCCCCCAATGAAAAAAGTAAATTGAAAAAACAGAAATTTCCATGGATATAAATTAATGCCCAGAATTGTTCAGCTAAGGAATGAGAATAAAATCAGGTGTTATAACTGCCAAGCTCAAATTTTTGGGGAGTGTTAATATTGTGCTCCTTAAAATACTTAGTTGAAGGAGCTGCAGAGATCTTAACTTAGTTCAATTAGAACATTTACCATCACACAAAGAAAAAATCCTTTTAAAAACTGTAAGTTTTTGCTCTACAACATGACTTGGAGCCTTTCAAGAACCATGCATACTTTTCGGAATTTTACTCTATTTTTCATATAACATCCTTCATATACCTGAAGTCTTAATCTGTCTTCCCTATCCATGTATTTTCTGTCCAGTCTTCCTTTTTCATGGTAAATATCAATGTACAAGTATTTAATAGAGACTGAAATAGTATTGTTTATTTACTACATAGATACATTTAACATGAGGGTTTTTTTTTTTTGCCTGTAACATCAACATATTACCCTGAGTACATATTAACTTGGGGTTAAGACATTTTCCATTCATCTTCAATGTTGTACTTCAAATGAAGACCCATTTTAAGTATATTTGACCATACCTCATTAACATTTATTTTTGATTTTGCAGAAGATTCTAAGAATGCACAGTTGTTCCATTGTCTTGCTAGATTTTGACCTTGTTCCTTCCCTACAACTCTTTCATCTTCCAAGTCACACTTATTACCAACAAGAATCATTGGAACCTAAAAATACATTTGTGAGAGTAAAAATAAATAAGTAAATATGCTATATGAATTCAAATCAAAAGAATTCTAAGAGTCAAATCTAAGAATTACTTTTCATATGCCACAAAAAATATTAAATAATGTATAATAAAATTTACAGCCTTAACAATTTAATCTGTAACATAAACATAAGTATTAACTTTGATGTCAATTATCTCCACTGCCTTCTCTTTTCATGGAGATGCAAACGATAACTCCAAAGGGAAGAAAAGAGAGAAAGAAAACTCTCATATGTTAAGTAAAATGAACACAACCTAGTCAATGTAGACATAAATAAGACACTTTTACATAAACTTTTGAGAAAACAAGCTATGATCCTGTTATGAGAGATGGGGGGAAAAAACCTTAAAATTTTATCATAATGGACGGAAGGCTCCCAAAATAGAATTTTTAGTTTCTCATAGTCTTGTATTAAAAAAGTCAATCAAGGCCAGGCACAGTGGCTCACGCCTGTAATCCCAGCACTTTGGGAGGCCGAGGCGGGTGGATCACCTGAGGTCAGGAGTTGGAGACCAGCCTGGCCAACATGGCGAAACCCTGTTTCTACTAAAAACACAAAAATTAGCTGGGTATGGTGACACACGCCTGTAATTCCAGCTACTTGGGAGGCTGACACAGGAGAATTGCTTGAACTTGGGAGGCAGAGGTTGCAGTGAGCTGAGATCGTGCCATTGCACTCCAGCCTGGGCGACAGGGTGAGACTCCGTCTCAAAAAAAAAAAAAAAAAAGCCAATCAAAATTTACTAAAAATCAAGCCACTTATTAAATGGATTTACAAATTAAAAAATGTTCCCTGAGGTTGCTGTAATTATGTAGGGTCCCCCCAAATTCCCTTGTTTCAGAAGTCCAGAAAATAAAAGCATTTACCATGGGTGTCTCCCAGCTCTCACAATATTTGCTAAAATTAAACTGCAGTACAATGAGTCTTATTTATGTATTTATTTTGAGACAGGGTCTCACTATGTCACCCTAGATGGAGTGCAGTGATGTGATCTCAGCTCACTGCCAACCTCCACCTCCCAGGCTTAAGTGATCCTCCCACCTCAGCCTCCCAAATAGCTGAGACCACAGGCACGCGCCACCATGCTGGCTAATTTTTTTTTTTTTAAATTTCTGGTAAAGGCAGGGTTTTGCTATGTTGCCCAGGGAGGTCTTGAACTCCTGAGCTCAGGGGATCTACCCGCCTTGGCCTCCCAAAGTGCTGGGATTAGAGGTGTGAGCCACCATGCCCAGCCTGGTTCTTACAGTATGCAGATCAGCAAAACCAACACCACTTCGAAACTTGTTAGAAATGCAAATTCCTGGGTCCTACTGCTGACCTACTGAATCAGAAGCTCTGAGATCTCAGCCCAGCAATCTGTTTTAACTGGTCCTACAGGTGATTCTGATGCAAAATCAATTTTGAGAACCACTGCTATATTTAGTGTGATGAGGAATTAAACTCCATTATGGTAGACTCTGAAGGGGCACCTAAATTAATAATGTTAGAATCTAATGTATTTCTTGCCTTTAAAATCCCAGCACTTTGGGAGGCTGAGGCAGGCGGATCACAAGGTCAGGAGATCGAGACCATCCTGGCTAACATGGTGAAACCCTGTCTCTACTAAAAATACAAAAAACTAGCTGGGCATGGTGGCAGGCGCCTGTAGTCCCAGCTACCCGGGAGGCTGAGGCAGGAGAATGGCGTGAACCCGGGAGGTACAGCTATCGCACCACAGCACTTCAGCCTGGGCAACAGTGCAAGACTCCATCTCAAAGGAAAAAAAAAAAAGGAAGGGTGTAACATTTAATTTTCACAGGATAATGGCAAAGGAGGAAATTTCTCACTTTCCACATGATATATATTTGAAAACATGTATGGGTATTTTTGCCTTTCAAGGAAAAAGTTTAAAAAAACCAACACCCCCCCCCCAACCAAAATACACAAGCTTTAAAATGAATTTAAATTTAGACTTAAACAATTATAATCAGGGTTTTGAAATAAAATATATTTATTTGGAAGTCAGCTTACATCATCAGTGTCTTTAACTCGAAGAATCTGTTCTCTCAGGTCTTGTAAATCGTTAAATGTGGACTGTGCTGTGATGGAATAAACTAATGCAAATCCTTGTCCATTTTTCATGTATAAATCCCTCATTGCTGTAAATTGCTCCTACAATAGAAAGAAAGGAACGTTAAAAAACAATAATGTTTTGACAGTTATTTTTACAATTTTCACAGTCTATAATTATAGCTCAATGAAGAATACTGTAGTATTATGTAACTTTGTTAAAATTATAATCTATGACAAGATACTATTTGAAAAAATTGGCATTTTAGTTTCTTTTTTTTTTTGAGACGGAGTCTTGCTCTGTCACCACGCTGGAGTGCAGTGGCGCGACCTCGGCTCACTGCAACCTCTGCCTCCCGGGCTCAAGTGATTCCCCTGCCTCAGCCTCCCGAGTAGCTGGGACAACAGGCGCACACCACCATGCCCGGCTAATTTTTTTCTTGTATTTCGGTAGAGACGGGCTTTCACCATGTTAGCCAGGATGATCTCCATCTCCTGACCTTGTGATCTGCCCGTCTCGGCCTCCCAAAGTGCTGGGATTACAGGCGTGAACTACCACGCCCAGCTGGAAATAGGTTTCCTATTTAAAAACAATACACCAAAGTCGATTTATATACAAAAAATATACTCAAGTGGAACAGAAATATCCTGTCCCCAAAAGTTACTAAAGGCAGCTTTTAAAATACATCATCATGTATAAAGCACCCCAACTGTATCTGCCAAGTTAATCTATTAGCTATGACTCAAATGCTGTAGTTCTGTAGGGCTCCATCAGCATGATCTAGACCATCCCATTTTCCCACACTACTTTTTCTTTGCTAGACTGTGAGCATTTGAAGGTAACAACACAGTGCCTGACATGTATCAGGTATTCAAACATTAGCTGAATGAATACCATACACCGAGAACAAATCTTCCCTTCATCTTCACATACCTACAAATTTAGTTTGTCTATAAATACGTTGAAGGAGAACAGATACCAATCAAAATATTTCTTTTTCTTTTGAAATGGAGTCTCACTCTGTCACCCAAGCTGGAGTGCAGTGGTGTGTTATCAGCTCACTGCAACCTCTACCTCCAGGGTTCAAGCGATTCTCCTGCCTCAGCCTCCCGAGTAGCTGGGACTACAGGTGCCTGCCACTGCACCTGGCTAATTTTTGTATTTTAATAGAGACGGGTTTCACCATGTTAGCCAGGCTGGTCTTGAACTCCTGACCTCAGGTGATCCACCCCCCTTTGACCTCCCAAAGTGCTGGGATTACAAGGCATGAGCCATCATACCCAGCTCAATCAAAATATTTCACACAGCTGCTGATGAATGAATGTATGCCTGTATTATTTGAAATATGGTAATATATTGTTTTAAAAGTACTAGTGAGACTGAAAATTTTTCTTCTAACACATTTTCTAAACTTTTCAATAACTGACCCACTGCAATTACAAAAAGTGCAATATACTTCCTCCGCCTCCCGGGTTCAAGCTATTCTCCTGCCTCAGCCTCCCAAGTAACTGGGATTACAGGTGTGTAACACCACGCCCGGCTAATTTTTTTTATATTTTTAGTAGATACGGGGTTTCACTGTGTTGCCCAGGCTGGCCTTGAACTCCTCACCTTAAGTGATCCACCCACCTTGGCCTCCCAAAGTGCTGGGATTACAGGCGTGAGCCACTGCGCCCGGCCAATATAAAATTAAGGATTCAACGGAACAACAACAAAAAGATTTAAAGTTTAGCAACTAGTAGTCTTATGTTTTTTTTTGACACAGAGTCTCGCTCTGTCACCCAGGCTGGAATGCAGTGGCACAATCTCCACAGTCTTGGCTCACTGCAACCTCTGCCTCCTGGGTTCAAGAGATTCTCCTGCCTCAGCCTCCTGAGTAGCTGGGATTACAGGCTCCCACCACCACACCTGGCTAATTTTTGTATTTTTAGTAGAGATGGGGTTTCACTATGTTGGCCAGGCTGGTCTCGAACTCCTGACCTCAAGTGATCCAGCAACCTTGACCTCCCGAAGTGCTGGGAATAGAGGTGTGAGCCACTACAACCGGCTGCAAGCAGTACTTTTAAATAAGCTTAACTAATATTTGTCTATAGAGTACTAGCATTTATGAAGTCAATACTGTACAAACGGTGTATATACTTTGGTATTTAGTTTTACCTACCGTTCCTGCAGTATCCAAGATTTCAAGCATACACTGTTGTGCATCTACTTCAACTTGCTGGTAGAAAAATTAAAATACATGTTCATTTTTTCAATGTACATAAAACTACCTTAATATACACAAAAAAGCTAATGTATCAAAAATAAGACACACAGATTTTAACAACTTTACAAACTAATATCCAGCAATACTTCAACAAAGCAGGAGGAAAAATAGCTAAGTAATCAAGATTCAAAGACCCCCAAATTGTAATCAAGTTCAAAAGCCATGTGTTCTCAAGTCAACACAGGGAAACCTACACGAACCAGTCTCAATATGGATTCTCAGCACTTAATTCTAGAGAAAAAAATAGTTTCGAAATAGCTCAAATAAACAAACAAAACCAGCAACAGTTCCAACAGTATCATAAGTAATTCTGTCTAAATTCTCCCATGATACTTTAGATATACCTCATTTCTCTAGGTAACTATATGCCCTCACCATACTGGAACAAGATTTCTGGAATTAAGGAAGCAGTGGCACAGCTATTAAATAAATTACACATATATCCCTGTTACCCCTTTCCATCTAATATTTCCTAGGGAAAAATAGGTATTTAGAATTAGATGTAGAAAGAAAAGAGTAATACTGTCTCACAGCTGGGGTGCAAAAGTTTCCAGTTTTTTTTTTGGTAGACTATGCACATGGAGGGAGGAATGGAAACACAGTATTTGTGCAACAGCGGGGCCAGGTTGGCTGCTTCATAGAGGTTGGGAAATACCTCTTTCCCTACTAAGTTAAAAATGTCTACACATTGTTTTATTGTCACATGCTGTTAGTGGACACAGGAATTCACCTTTCTATAGGCTGAGCATCCCTAATCTAAAAATCCAAAACTTGCAATGTTCCAAATCCAAAAGTTTTTGAGCCATGTGTGGAACATCACGCTACAAGTGGAAAATTCCACACATGAGCTCATGTGACCAGTCACAGTCAAAATGCAGCCAAAACTTTGTATCATGCATAAGAATATTAAAAATATTATGTAAGATTATGTGTATGAGGTGTATATGAAACCATGAATTGTTTAGATGTGGGTCCCATTCTATTTCATTATGTATATACAAATATTCTAAAATCAGAAAATAATCTGAAATCTGAAATACTTCTGGTCCCAGTTATTTCAGATAAGGGATATTCAACCAGTATTGTGAGTGGTGGCACTTTCTCAAGAGGTTAGTAAGTAGAAAGCTTAGGAAGACCTGTGTCCACCTATTTCTAGGTTAAAAAGAAGGGAGCTTGAGAGTAATCAGTCTTGCTAGGTAGGGGACTGAAAGTAACATGGGGCTACTACTTGAAATGGATGGTCTGCTTTAAAGTTTATGTGTCAAATTACAAAAAATTCTGTGAATATGTGAGAGTATGGGTGTTTATGATCCTCTTAAACTGGTAACTATGCAATGCCAGAAAGTGTAAACTTTTCCCACTAATTTTATAAATTAACTCTGCCTCCATCCTTTGTATAAAACATTCAATAATTATAAAGCTAAAATAAGTATTTATATTAAAATCAAAAGCAAAAGGCCTTCCAAAGTAATATATACCTTTCTATAAGAATCTTCTATCGTAGGATCGTATTTTTCTACAAAAATTCCTTGAACAAATTGTACAGTCTGAAAAAAAAATTAAGAAACCATTATACTTCTAAAGAAAAGAGTACATTCAATCTTTAATGTAATTGTAAACTGAGTTCACACAGGGAGTTACACCATCAATGAAAAAAAAAACCACAGCCAATACTACATTCGAATGTGTACATTTGGTAAGAAAATTACCTCAGGAAGCTGTTTATTTTTAAATAAATAATCACTATGCTCCTTATTGGGTAATTCTAAATTTAGAGATCATATATTAAAAAATTTTAAATGTCTCTGGTTTCAGTCCTTTGTTTTTTTTCTTTGAGACAGAGTCTTGCTCTGTCTCCCAGGCTGAAGTGCAGTGACGCAATTTTGGCTCACTGCAACCTCTGCCTCCCGGGTTCAGGCCATTCTCCCACATCAGCCTCCCGAGTAGCTGGGATTACAGGCATGCACCACCACACCTGGCTAATTTTTATATTTTTAGTAGAGACGGGGTTTCACTATATTGGCCAGGCTGCTCTCGAACTCCTGACCTCAGGTGATCCGCCCACCTCAGCCTCCCAAAGTGCTGGGATTACAGGCGTGAGCCACTGTGCCGGCATTGTTTCAGTCTTAAGAGCTTAAATTTGATTTTTAAATTAGAAATTGACTAATTGTTATGTATACACACATACATGCAGGATCAACTGACCTCCCCATCACTTTGGATACAAATGAAAAAGCAGTTCATTTCACATTGTATGTACTTCTCAGTTTGTTCCAAGCATGACACTTCTCAGCTAGGTGGCCTTTCTAAGTGGCCAAGATGGTTTATCTTATGAGTGAGACAGAAGGTCAATCTATTTGCTTGTGAGGCTTTGCTAAGCTCTGAACTATTCATCAAATTATTTTCCCTACGTTTTTCCTCTTTCCCAACCCTCATTACCCAGTTATGTCTTCATTCTTGCTATACCATTCCTTGATGCAGAAAACGTGCCGTTAAAAAATGTAAAGCTGGACAGTCAAAGGTAATATTTGAAGACTTTTTATAAGCTTTGATATTTTCTAACATAAAATGTACAGGGTAAGACTATTCATAAGAAGAAAGAGCAAGCCAGGCATGGTGATTTATGCCTGTAATTCCAGCACTTTGGGAGGCAAAGGTGGATTACTTGAGGCCAGGAGTTTAAGACCAGCCTAAGCAATATAGCAAGACGCCATCTCTACAAAAAATTTTAAAAATTAGCCTGGCATGGTGGCACGTGCCTGTAGTCCCAAGCATTCAGGAGGCTGAGATCACTTGAGCCCTAGCCTGGGCAACAGAGTGAGACCCTGTTTCAAAAAAATAAATAAATAAAAAGACCAAAATTTATTCCTATCTGGCTCTGAAATGCGAATGCAAAAAGACATGTATTTGTACGCTCTCAATCTCTGTGCTTAGCTCAAATTGTATTCCAGCATAACTCGTGTCATTCTGGAGTCAATGTTCCAGAGAGAATATGATCCACCCAGATATAATTAAAAGTTGAATAAAATTACAAGAAAAATATTATATTGCTTCTAAAGTCATTAAGGAATTTTATCTTAACAAAGACAAATCATCAAAACCTAAAACTCAACAGAAAAAGAACGTCTTGGAGTGAAAGGCTTAGGTAAAGTAAGAATGACTTACCAAAGCAGACTTTCCAACGCCTCCTGAGCCAAGAACGACTAGCTTATACTCACGCATGATGCAAGCTTGTCAAAACCTAGTACCTTATTAAAGGAAAAAAAAAAAAAGAATTCTAAGTAAAGTTGTGTATTCCTGTGCTTTTCACAGAAATAAAACATTCAGGAAAATAGATTTATTTAAAATGATTACTATACAACCCTAGTATGGAGCACCCTATAAGCAGACTTATTAAAAGATGCTCAGAGGTAGAAGAAAACTACAGAATTACAGACATGACTTTGAGCCCGATCCAGGATAGAGCACAGGTCTGAAAAGAAATCCAACCTATCACCTGTTTTGTTACATCAAGTTTTACTCAAACACAGCCATATCCACTCATTTGTGTATTGTCTGTGGTTTCTTCTGTGCTGTAACAGCAAAGTAGTTACAACAGAGCCTAAATATTTACGTATCTGGCCAAGCCCTGGCATACATAAATGGTAAATATAATATGTTGGTAGAGGAAGCAGAAGACCAAATATTTATTCCTAAAGTGGGGAACGTACAGACAACCTGAAAATGGTCTTGAATCAGAGGCAGAACTGAAGAATATGAGTTCCCAGACTGAAAACGTCTACTTAGAATGTTTAGTATGATGAAATAGTAGAAATAAAAACAAAATATATCCAGAAAGAAACAATCCATACCAAGGCTTATCATTATAAAATTTCAGTATATGAACAATAGACAGAAGGTCTTCAAGGATTCCAGGGTGGGGGCATTACATGAGAATAAAAGGCTCCTACATTCCTAGAAAAAAACTAAAGAGTCAGTAAAGTGGTACAAAGGTAGCAACCAGAACAGATTTTAAAACTTCTGATCAAGAAATGACAGTTTTTTGGGTCATGGTTAACAAAGCTACTATAACTGATTTAAATGATTTTAATCAACTAATAACAATTTGCCTCAGAGGATATGCTTCTACAAACTAACCAACTAATGAGGGTTCCTTACTTCTGAAACTCAGGCAATCAAAAATGGCCTGTTAAACAGACACATCCCAAAGCCAACCAATCAACAACTGTCTTCACTTGAGTGACAGTGCTTCTATAGCTAACATTAACCTGCTCCTGTCTTTGAAAGTTTGCCAACCATGGAACTTCCTAATTCCCCAAAATCCTGTAAGACCAGCAGTCTAGCAAGGTTGGGGAAATTAAAAAAAAAAAAAAGGGAAAAAAAGAGCAGTGTATCTGACCAGGATAGCTTAGGTAATCAAGAACTCGGCCAGATGTGGTGGCTCATGTCTGTAATCCCAGCACTTTGGGAGGCTGAGGTGGGTGGATCACTTGAAATCAGGAGCTCAAGACCAGCCTGGCCAACATGGCAAAACCCTTTTTTGGGGGGGGGGGGGGGGGCGGGGAGTGGAGTGGGGGGCAGGGACAGGGCTTCACCATGTTGGCCAGGATGGTCTCGATCTCTTGACCTCATGATCCACCTGCCTCGGCCTCCCAAAGTGCTGGGATTACAGGCGTGAGCCACCACACCCGGCTTCAAAACCCTGTTTCTACAAAAAAAGACAAAAATTAGCTGGGTGTGGTGGTACACGCCTGTAATCACAGCTACTCGCAAAGCCGAGGCATGAGAATCGCTTGAACCTGGGAGGTGGAGGTTGCAGTGAGCTGAGATCACACCACTGGAGTCCAGCCTGGGCAACACAGTGAGATTCTGTCTCAAAAAGATTCAATAGGATACAAAATAAAAATTGATTTAAGGAAATTTTCAAAAGTATTCTGGCAAAGACCCAACAGTTAAAGTAAAGAGATGGCCTTTCTTTTTGTATATGGGTTCAGGTCTGAAATAGGAAACCTAAAATGGAAAATTGGTAATCCGAAAAAATCTACAATGGTTGAGATTTTCAGAGTCTTACAAACAAACTAGAAAAAACTAAATAAAAAGGTCTTTGTTTTCGAAGAAATGCAAGCCCACAGATGAGGCTACTTGTACAAACAGAGCCACAGGAGGAACTGATGTTGCATGTTCACTAACAAATGGAAGTACAATAACCCCAAATCTGTTCATTATTGCTGCTCCAAAGGAAATATGAGCATCCAATTCTCCACCCTTCCTCCACTGGGAGTGAGAGTGGGACTGACTACATATAGTCACAGGAAACCTTTTGGGGGTGATGGAAGTGTTCTAAAAACTAGTTGTAGTGGGCCGGGCGCAGTGGCCCACACCTGTAATCCTAGCACTTTGGGAGGCTGAGGCAGGCGGATCACAAGGTCAGGAGTTCAGCCTGGCCAATATGGTGAAACCCCGTTTCTACTAAAAGTACAAAAATTAGCTGGGCATGGTGGTGGGCACATGTAATCCCAGCTACTCGGGAGGCTAAGGCAGGAGAATCGAGTGAACCCGAGAAGTGGAGGTTGCAGTAAGCTGAGATCGTGCCACTGCACTCCAGCCCCGGTGAGACTGCAACACTCCATCTCAAAAAAAAAAACACACCAAAAACTGGTTGTAGTGATGGCTGCATAACTATATATTCACTAAAACCTCCAAACATAACACAACTGACCGAAACAACATAAAAACTACAATTTTAAAATACTGAATATAAAAACTATACATTTATCAGAGGTGATTTTTCTAAGAGACGTATGCCTTTCTTATTTCACAAAGGTGGCTGAGTTGGCTGTGGGAGCTACACTTCTTAGTGAGGTGACTGGGACTCTTTTTCCCAGCTGCTTCATTTATCCATGAATGAGCATTATTATTTGTTGCTAGAATGAGTCAGGTTCATCCATATTATTGTATCTATCAGTAACTTGCTCCTTTTATTTATTACTGTTGATTAAAATATACCACATGAATACATGATATTTTCTTTACCCATTCACACCAGCTGATTTCCAGTTTGGGGATATTATCAGGGTATTTCTGTTACCTTAAACAGCAAAACAAAACAAAAAAAACCCAACAGTACAATAGTCAAGATTTGAATCAGTATTTTTCAAATCTGTGCTTTCTACTACACCAGCCTTGAAAAGACTGAAAAACAGATTTTTATTGCGAATGCCAACTCTGACTGACTGGCAACAGCCATTATCCTGTTTTTAGGATGGTGTGGTTGCATCTAGTTTTGCAGAAAAGACAACTCTGTTCAATAAGCAACATAATTGGCTTGTGGTGCTGGTAGGGACTGGGAAAGAGCTGTAGCACCTGTTATTTGTATAGCGTATTTGTGATCTTTAGGCATAACCTTTCTGTTCAAGTGTTCTTTTCCTGAAGTCCTTAGCTCAGGTTAAGAATGAGCACTTTGAAATATGTCAATTCCCTAAAATTTCATGCACAATTAAAAATGGGAATAGTTACATCAGATTTTCAAAGACATTTGTGACAACTACTATTTGAGACATTGAGACTAATTGTTCTCTTTCACAGAACCCCATGGGGGGACAATTTTGACAGCACAGCATAGTGGCTAATGGTACCTAAGTTTCAAATTGTGGTTTTCTATAATCTTGGGCAAGTCACGAAACCTTTCAGAGCCTCACTTTCCTTCCAGGTAAAATTAAGATAGTAACAGCTACATGATAAGGTTGTGAGATGGATTACAAAGAATGTAAACTCCATGAGGATAGGGATTTTTTTTGTTTTACTCACTGCCATATTCCCAGAACCTGAAACTGTGCCTGAAATATGTGATCAATAAATTAAAGAAAGAATAAGGAAAGAAATGTAGTAATTCTTCAGAGTCACTGACACAACACCTTGCACATACTCGTCAACAAAAGATAAATTTCAGGCCAGGCGTGGTGGCTCACGCCTGTAATCCCAGCACTTTGGGAGGCCGAGGCGGTTGGATCACTGGACCAGCTGGACCAGGCTGGTCAGAAGTTCAAGACCAGCCTGGCCAACATGGCAAAGCCTCTACTAAAAATACAAAATTAGCCGGGTGTGGTGGCACATGCCTGTAATCCTACTTACTCGGAAGGCTGAGGCAGGAGAACTGCTTGAACCCAGGAGGTGGAGGTTGCAGTGAGCCCAGATCGCACCACTGCACTCCAGCCTGGGCGACACAGCAAGACTCCATCTCAAAAAAAAAAAAAAAAAAAAGTAACTTTTAAAATAAGAGTAACAATGGTTTGAGCTGCCACTCAGTACACTAAAGAGGACTGCTATTCCTTCAGTTGAGAATCACTGCTCGACTTTTTTTTTTGAGATGGAGTCTTGCTCTGTCACCCAGGCTGGAGTGCAGTGGCGCCATCTCGACTCACTGCAACCTCCGCCTCCCAGGTTCATGCCATTCTCCTGCCTCAGCCTCCTGAGTAGCTGGGACTACAGGTGCCCACCATCACGCCCAGCTAATTTTTTGTATTTTTTTAGTAGAGACGGGGTTTCACCGCGTTAGCCAGATTGGTCTCAATCTCCTGATCCGCCCGCCTTGGCCTCCCAAAGTGCTGGGATTACAGGCGTGAGCCACCGTGCCCGGCCCACTGTTCCACTCTTTAATCTACTAGCTCAAAAACATGTAAGAACCCTCCATGTCAATATAAAAAAGCAAAAACCTGTGCATACATCAGTATTTTGAATCATTTAAAAATGTTCAGAGATAATGACTGGGAAATAGCCCTCTTTTAAGTATTTAAAAAACACATTACTAAACAAAAATCCTGTAATATTGGCATTGTCTCTGACCGCTAATATTAATCACAGAAGTCTTAATGAAATCTATTGTACCTCAAGTTATGCAGACTGTAATTTTGACAGCCTAGGAGGAATCTCATTATTACATTACCTCAAGAGTACGGAAAAAATCTTGAGATTATAATAGAAAATGAATTTCAATTCCCTGGAATAAAAAAAAGAAAAAAAATACATGACAAGGTGGGGGGATAGGGAATTTTCTTTTCCTTTTGCTTATTTTTTTTCCTGACAGTTCTATTGTTAATAAATAGAAAAAATTATAAAACAAATGAAACAAAAACTGAAGTTAACAGAGGAATTGTGAAGTTGTTCTATAACTACCCCAATATTATTATAAGAATGCTGATAATTACTGGCATTTTTAAGAAGTAGACTTTAGAAAACTCAAAAATACCAAGTTTAGCCACTCAACTCATAGAGTAACTATAAAATATTGATGTTGGAAAAGTACTGGATTAATAAACTAATGGTGAGGGTACCTTTTTAAAGAAACAAACAGGTAAGCATAAAAGAATCAATTAAAGTTTAATTCTATTCTTTAAGTCTTAATTACTTCTCAGAAAACACTTCTCAAAAAGGACTAAGAGATGCTTAACTACTGAAAATTACAACATTAAATATATTTTAAGTGCTTTATAGAAAAAGAAATACTCAATGTAAATACTGACATTTTAAATACCTATCTTATATCAATGCAATATTTACAATTAGCAAGCAAAAAATTTATCTAGAATGAAAAGATAAATATGGTAGCAAAGGACTTAAGTTAGTACTTTAACTGGTGTGCCACAAGTAAATGATTACATTCTGAGAAGCTTGCTCATTTTTAACTACTTGTACATCAGTAGAAAATAAGGATTAAGTCAAAAAGAGGATAGGAAGTAATACTAGAATACCTGATATTATAAATTATTAAGAGTTCTGACTATTAGAAGGTATTACTGCCATGTACTACCATTTAAAGTGAAGAGATTTTGGAAGAAAAACAAAAACTATAATCAACAGAAAAACTCTGAAAGAAATTTTAAGATGAACAACCTTCAAGAAGTTAAAGGCGGCTGCAGTGGACCGTGGGCAGCCAGGGTCGGTGAAGAATCCCAACATGGCTGGGCGAAAACTTGCTCTAAAAACCACTGACTGAGTAGCTTTTGCAGAGATCATACCCCAGAACCAAAAGGCCATTGCTAGTTTCCTGAAATCCTGGAATGAGACCCTCACCTCCAGGTTGGCTGCTTTACCTGAGAATCCACCGGTTATCGACTGGGCTTACTACAAGGCCAACGTGGCCAAGGCCGGTTTGGTGGATGACTTTAAGAAGTTTAATGCCCTGAAGGTTCCCGTGCCAGAGGATAAATATACTGCGCAGGTGGATGCCGAAGAAAAAGATGTGAAATCTTGTGCTGAGTGGGTGTCTCTCTCAAAGGCCAGGATTGTAGAATATGAGAAACAGATGGAGAAGATGAAGAACTTAATTCCATTTGATCAGATGACCACTGAGGACTTGAACGAAGCTTTCCCAGAAACCAAATTAGACGAGAAAAAGTATCCTTATTGGCCTCACCAACTAATCGAGAATTTATAAAATTGAGTCCAGGAGGAAGTTCTGGCCCTTGTATTACACATTCTGGACATTAAAAATAATAATTATACAGTAGACCAATAGCACCATAATTTTAGGCACAGTAAATTAGCCAATATCTCTCATTGCTAACTCAGTTTCATTTAACTTCTTGTGTTGCCTTTAACAACTTTTTTTTTAATATCATTCTCGCTTGAATTTCCAGTATAAGTGACAAGATTTTCTTCATTTACATGTGCTCTCTTTATGGTATTCCTTATAAACAAGAGCATTTATTTGTAAAAACTGGATGCAGTTTGAAACTATCTGTACAGTTAAGAATTGCTAGTTAACAATAATATGCCTATGTATGAGTTAATCTGCAAATGTAGTACATTTGTATTCATCTTTAGTCTATGAATTAACCAATTATACCAACTAATGAGGGACTCCTGGATCTTCATTTTACTCAACGCGTTAAACAGAAAAGACTGTAGCATATATGCGAAATGAACTTAATGTTATCAACAGTGCAACTATACGATACTTCATCAGCCAAAAGGTGCAATTTCTACATCATGTAGGCACATACACAATTATAAACTTTATGCATGATTCACACTGCCTCTCCAACACAATCTAAGATTACAGATGAAGAAAATCAATTAAATTTCTAAAGAAAGCTATCAAAATACTAAAAATTCCACTACTGTTCAAAGTATTTTCTACACTGTTTTTTTTTTTTACCTTTGATTCAGAGGAACTGTGGAATGCATCGATTTTTTCAAATGCATAAGTATTTCTTCTATTTATCTTTGAATATATTTTTTGGGTAGTTTTTAGTATTAGGTCATTTACATTTAAAGATTCCTAATTTGAGTTCCTTATATAATCACCTAAAATTTGCGTGACTGCAACTAACCTGATTGATGAAAGTAACTGACAGCTTTTACACTTGGCTATTTACTTCTTGCAAAATATCTACTACCTTACTCATTTGTTTAAAAGTAGTTTATTATTACTTCTACAACTTTTTCCATTTACTCTACAGACCGTAGTTTTATTTGCATTGGTTCTTTTTTATCAATTTAAAAAGCTGTTTAATTCTAGTTTCAGAGCAAACCACAGCAAAGACATGGAAAGACAAGAAAACAAAACCTCCTTTGGCATTGTCGAGAGTCCGGTTTCAGTGGCTGCTTCATAACTGTTTGAAATGAAAGTGGAAGAAGGGGGTGGTGGCTCATGCCTATAATGCCAGCACTCTGGCAGACAGAGACAAGCAGACTGCTTTAACTCAGGAGGAGTTCAAGACCAGCCCGGGCAACATGGTGAAACCCCGTCTCTACAAAAAATATGAAAATTAGCCAAGTGTAGTGGCACACACCTGTAGTCCCAGCTACTTGAGAGGCTGAGGTGGGAGCATCACTCGAGCCCAGGAGTCGAGGCTGCAGTGACCCATGTTTGTGCCACTGCACTCCAGCCTGGGTGACAAGTGAGACCCTGTCTCAAAAACAAAACGAAACAAAAAACATATTCTACATTAAGTTCAGTAAATTTATCTAAGATAATTATTTCATTAACCGGAGATTATTAACTAGTATTTTCACAAAACAATAATGAATGCTATAATAATTCTGAGTTAACAGAAAATCCTGAAGACATGAATCAAAGAAAATAAAAACTGGTCTTATGGGGTAGCTTTTTTTTTGTCTAAATGTGTTCACTATATTACACATCAAAATGCAAATAACTGATTTAATTATCCAACATTCTGGATTGCCTATAACATTCTTCCTAAGATTCAACTGTAGATATTACTGATCCAAATTATGAACAAGAATTATTCTAAAAAATCACTGAGGAAACTAAAAAGCGTAACAAAATGACAAATTTATGTATTAAAAAGAAAATTCTTGTTTATTTGATGCTGAGATTTATTGAGGACATACTCCATCAACCCAAGAACTGTGCTGGTCAGAAAAGAAAATCTAAGAAATGACACCTTCCATTAACACTACTATAATACAGCAATCAATATTTGACATCAATAAATATATAATGAGTACCTAATATATGTTAGGCACTATTCTAGGCAGTGGGAATATAAAGCAGTGAAAGAAAGACCCTGTCCTCAGAATTTATAATCTGGAGTAAAGGGTATAGAGGGGGAAACAAAGTCAGTATAAAGTGTCAGCTGTGATAAGCAGTATGGAGAAAAAAAAAAGAGATAAGAATGGATGGTTTTATATGGGGTGGTTATGAAGAACTTCTATTAAGGTGAAATTACTATATAGCTCAGTACACAAAGAGTCCTGTCAATGGATTGATATTAAATTTTGTTTTTAACAAAAGACTACCATTAGGCTTTGTCCTGTTGAGCATTTAAAAAATCATCTTTGGGCCGGGCATGGTGGCTCATGCCTGTAATCCCAGCACTCTGGGAGGCTGAGGTGGGTGGATCACGAGGTCAGGAGATGGAGACCATCCTGACCAACATGGTGAAACCCCATCTCTACTAAAAATACAAAAATTAGCCGGTTGTGGTGGTGCATGCCTGTAATCCCAGCTACTCAGGAGGCTGAGGCAGGAGAATCGCTTGAACCCAGGAGGCAGAGGCTACAGTGAGCTGAGATTGTGCCACTGCACTCCAGCCTAGCACAGAGCAGGACTCAGTCTCCCAAAAAAAAAAAAAAATCTTTGGTGGGGTGACATGCTAATTAGTTTGTGGCTGAAGTTAAATTTGGATTTGGGAGTCAATCCAGCCCCTTCCTCTGCAAAAAGGGGCATAAATGGGATTTCTGGAGAAGTCTAAATGTAGTTGGTCTTATGAGGTGCTGTTTTTCAATATGTACAAAATGCCCTTTGGTGAGTTCCTGTGCCAGCTCTTTAGAGGAGGATATGTACCTCTTTTCCTCAGCTGTGTAGCAAAAACAACACAGATCAGGGCAGCATATCTCAAGATGCAGTTCTTAGGAGGTTAGTGTCAAGGAAATGTCTCTGAAGCATTCTTGCACTAACTCAGCCCACAGTGATCATTCTCCTTCATGACAAGTTATACCAAATACTTTAGGACTTGATTACGTATTACCTTGTACTATTTTCTAAGGAGACAACAAGCTGTAGAAAGTAACATTAACTTTGAATTTAAGAAGCTCTATTTAAAAAGTCGTATATTTTGAGATAAATCACTTAATTCTTGGTTTCCAGATTCCTTGTCTACAAAAAGATGGAATGAGGGAAAGGGGAAATACTGAACACTCAGATGACTTACATCAGCCAGGTAACCATGTAAACGCTTGAAGCAGTTAAGGTCTTATTAGGTAATAACATAGACTGTGGTCAAGTAGGGAGTGAATGCTTTACGGGTAAAGTCATTTGAATTCTAAAAATTATGAATATTGTATAAACCAACAAAATCAATTTGAGAGATAAGAGCTCTGAACCCTGGTCCAGCAGTTTTTGACTTCTCGACTAGATCCCTAAAGTCCCTTTCAATTATAAAATGTTTTGTTATAATAATGTTACATGTACCAGACTTTGAAGAATTAAACATAAATGGAATTTTAAAAGCATCTTAGGTTGGGCGTGGTGACTCATGTCTGTAATCCCAGCACTTTGCGGGGCCGAGGCAGGCAGATCACTTGAAGTGAGGAATTCGACACTAGCTGGCCAACATGGTGAAACCCCGTCTATACTAAAAAATACAAAAATCAGTCGGGTTTGGTGGTGCATGCCTGTAATCCCAGGTGCTCAGGAGGCTGAGGCAGGAGAATCATTTGAACCTGGAAGGCCGAGGCTGCAGTGAGCCAAGATTGCGCCACTGCACTCCAGCTTAGGCATACAGAGTGAGACTCTGTCTCAAAAAACAAAAAAAAGTTAGATTCCTTAATTACTATAAAAAAATAAATTGCACTGGTAATAAAATTTAATATAATCTAAATATTATTTCTCTAACTTCATAATGGTTGTTTGATATTATAGATATTTTGGAGTCATTATCTTTCAAAAACAATACACATTTTAAAAAGGAGTGAAAATAAACGTAAGACAACATCCTTACTCCTAAAGTATGCACAACTGGGAAAATCCATTAAGACTAGTGGGCACTCAACCAGGACAAGATGCAACCACATTTTCCTTTACCTTCTCGCATGCTATTTATGCAAATAAAAGCCATGTAACTAAAAATTAGGGCACGGACATGACATCCTCTCTCAGGAAACACACTTCTCTTCAAATAATACCACAAATAAAGAGACTAACTGTATAAGGGATTATACAAATTGGTTACAGAGATTAAGACTGGGAAGTAAAATATAAAAAGAAGTTAAAAACAAGTGACTACCAAGGAAAAAATCTATATACCAAATATACAAAAAATGTGGACTAGTGAGCCAAGTGTCACCAGACTGTACTATAAAACATTAAAGCCAACAACAGATTACCTTTAAAGACTGCTTTAATCCTATCCAGGATAAAACACAGTTGAACAATGGAATTTTAAAAACTTAAATTTGTATTAATCCAGTTAGCAAAATTTGCATCCCAGGTTACCTTAAAAACTTTGAATCCAAAATTATCTTGAAAAGCAAACAAATTAACTCATTAAAAAAAAGGACCCATATTTAAATAACATAAAGCAATTCTACATTTTAAGAAGATGAAACCAAATAACTGACATTTTAAGAGACTTCCTGAACTGAGTGAGGCTAGTTCATAATTGGTAAATAAAGAAATCCTGGGGCTGGTTTGAGGCCCAAACTCAGTTTTTCCTTATACACTTAAAAGTAAATACTGTATCATCTTTGGAGCTCAGGGTGATAAAACATGAAATCTGGAAATAAGGAGACCAAAACTAGCTACGTAATTTACCAGGGGGGTGGTCATTTATTTCTAGGCTGGCATCTTGTTTTTTTTTTTTTTTTTTTTTTTTTTTTTGAGATGGAGTTTTACTCTTGTCACCCAGGCTGGAGTGCAGTGGTGTGTGATCTCAGCTCACTGCAACCTCAGCCTCCCTGGTTCAACTGATTCTCCTCTCTCAGCCTCCCGAGCAGCTGGGATTACAGGTGCGTGCCACCACACCTGGCTAATTTTATATTTTTAGTAGAGGTGGGGTTTCACCATGATGGCCAGGCTTATCCTAAACTCCTGACCTAAGGTGATCCACCCGCCTGGGCCTCCCAAAGTGCTGGGATTACAGGCGTGAGCCACTGCACTCGGCCTCTAGGCTGGTGTCTTAATCTGTGAAATACGGACAACAATACTGACTGTACCGAGTTGATGGACAGATTAAGAATGTACACTGTTTATTAAAGATTTACATGTTAGTTATTACCATCATCAAGCAGCTGCAGGGTAGTACTTATTTTGGTACCCACTATTTGGTCTATAAATGTTTGCTGAATAAAGACTAATAATTCATTTCCAGCAAATGACAGAAGTATATAGACTTTTAAAAGAAGAGTAGTAAGTTATCTTTTTATAGGTAAATTGCCATTTAAGTTCACATCAATTATTGACAGATGCCATGAATCCCAACTGAAGATGAAATACACAAATCTTGGCATTAAAAAAAGTAGGGACAGGCCGGGTGTGGTGGCTCATGCCTGGAATCTCAGCACATTGGGAGGCTGAGGTGGGTGGATCACCTGAGGTCAGGAGTTCGAGATGAGCCTGGCCAACATGGTGAAACCCCATCGCTACTAAAAATACAAAAATTAGCTGGGCATGATGGTGCACACCTGTAATCCCAGCTACTCCGGAGGCTGAGGCAGGAGAATTGCTTGAACAGAGACTCCGTCTCAAAAAAAAACAGCAGGGATAGGCATGGTGGCTCACACCTACCTGTACAATCCCAGCATTTTGGGAGGCTGAGGTGGGAAGACTGCTCAAGACTATTCTGGACAACACAGCAAAACCACACTTCTACAAAAAATTTATAAAGTAGCTGGGTGTGGTGGTACATGCCTAGAGTCCCAGCTGCTCAAAAGAATGAGGTAGGAGGATCACTTAAGCCCACGAATTGGAGGTTACAGTGAGCTATGACTGCATTACTGCACTCTATCATGGGTGACGCAAGAACTTGTTTCTAAAACAAACAAACAACAAAAAAACAGTGCTTATACTTGCCTTCTAGGAATCACAGTCCAGTAAAAATGCCCTGCAGCAGAAACTCTAGTGTTAAAACCAACTTCTGGGTTCCAGAGACAATTGCTCATAACTTTGTAACCTGATTTCTTTCTTAAATCTCATTAATAAATGAAGAAGTAGCTTATAAGAATCAAATCCTTGAAAAGCAATAAGCAACATTTAAAAAGCATAATTTCTGTCCCTTAAAATATGCCAAAAAAAATAGCTGACTGTCATGGCTCATGCCTGTAATACCAGGACTTTGGGAGGCCAAGGCGGGCAGATCACTTGAGGTCAGGAGTTTGCGACCAGCCTGGCCAATATGGTGAAGCCCCATCTCTACTAAAAATACAAAAAAAAAAAATACTCGAATGTGGTGGCGGGCGCTTGTAGTCCCAGATACTCAGGAAGCTGAGGCAGGAGAATCGCTTGAATCCAGGAGGCGGAATTTGCAGTAAGTAGAGATTTTGCCACTGCACTCAAGCCTGGGCTACAGAGCAAGACTTCGTAACAAAAAAAAAATTTCATGGGTATAACCAAAATGGAAATTTTGCAAAAGCAGTTCTCCAATCTCAAGTTGTTTAACTACTACACTCACCCCCTAACCCCAGTTTGAAATTCTGTGACCCTAAATTATAAAAACAGGCCTAAGTAGGCCAGGCACGCTGGCTCATGCCTGTAATCCCAGCACTTTGGGAGGCCGAGGCGGGTGGATTGCTTGAGGTCAGGAGTTCGAGACCAGCCTGGCCAATATGGTGAAACCCCGTCTCTACCAAAATACAAAAATTGGCTGGGTGAGGTGGCGGGCGCCTGTAATCCCAGCTATTAGGGAGGCTAAGGCAGGAGAATTGCTTGTACCCAGGAGGCGGAGGTTGCAGTGAGCCGAGATCGCACCACTGCACTCCAGCCTGGGTGACAGAGTGACTCTGTCTCAAAAAAAGAGGCCTTAAATACTGGTTCCTGAAGTCAGGTAACATTACTTCTCCCACTGCACTTTCTGGAAGAGAAGATACTTGATTTCTCCTTTCCATCTCCAACTCCAAAAGTAATACTTTAACAGCTAAAGAGGGTAACTGTGTCCTTTTCTCATTCCCAAATAAAATCAACTAATTCAACTGTCAGAAGGACCTGTTATGAATCTGTTTAACACAATGACAGACTTTAAAAATTCTTTTTGAAGGAAAAAATAAGGGGCCCAAACACTGCCTCTCCTACCCTCTTTTAAAAATAAAACTTCTAACAAGGAACTATAAAATAAATAGAAAGCTGCTAAAATGAAGACTGCTTATCATATTTACTTTGAGTTGTCTGCCTCTCTCATAATGAGGACACATGGAAAATGTTTCCAATCTTACTCATTCTGCCAAGAAAGATCTCCTGTGAACAAGATTTCTAAATCTAGAAAGTGCAAAATTTGTAGATTATCAAACTGTGTATAGCATTTTCTCTATTCTGATCATATTTATAATACCTCAAGAAAGAAAAAAATTCCCTTGCCCTTTTCATGGATTAATACTGCTAGTAAATCAAGTTTTTTCAATTAATCACACCAACTTTCTCCCTGAAATATTCAACAACATATAATTTGACATGCAACGTAAGGTTAGCTTTTCCAGCTTTATTTCTATAGTTACCTTTTCAGTTCAGTATTTGATCATGTATGGTAGAATACAGAATAGAGGGTAACAATTTATCAACAATCTGACAAATGCAGAAGAACCAGTTTAATAGATTTCTCAGCCGAGTCAAGAGATAAGCAAAATAGTTAAGTGATTTTTTAAAAAAGGAGAGACCAACAATTCAAAAACAGGTAAAAAAAAAAATAATAATATAGGCTCAAGATCACCTTATTAGTTTCTATCAGATCTTTCCAAATAGGCTGTATTTGTGTAGAACTCCTCCCTGCTCCCAATTCTCTAGATGTGACTTAAAAAAATGTCCTTTTTTCCCTGTCATCTGAACTAGCAGTAAAATCTACAGGGATGCATACTGACTCAGTATAGGCTTTAGATCCCATTGTCTGGGTTGGAATCAGTTCTACTTGAGTGGCTTTGGTCTCGTTATTTTAAACTGTGTCTCATTTCCTCATTTGAAAATGGAAATAAAAGTATCTACTTCTTACAGTTCTTAAAGATTCAAATGAAATAACTTACCCTATGCAAAATGTGTAGCACAATGAGTAACACATAGGAAGTAGCCAGTAAATGTTAATTTGCTATTTTTTAAAATTATATCTATCTAGGTGTTTATAGTGCTTAAGACACCTAAAGGACTTCAATAGCATATTATTTTAATAGGTAGCTGTATACCTGGGAGTTGTCATGGATTCTTCTCTCTTCACTCCATTATCAAGTCTGATTCATTCTACCTTGGTATTTCTGGAATCAATTCCATTCTCTCTACTCCACTACCTTATACTGGGCCTTATTATTTCTTACACGGGAAGAGGAGGATACAAGAGGCAACGAGAAAACATTAATTTGCTTTACACCTCAATTTCAATGACCAGATTAGAGATGTTAAGTTTTTTTGTTTTTTTGAGACAGAGTCTTACTGTATTGCCCAGGCTGGAGTGCAGTGGCACGATCTCAGCTCACTGCAACCTCCACCTCCCAAGTTCAAGTGATTCTCCTGCCTCAACCTCCTGAGTAGCTGGGACTACGAGCACACGCCACCATGCCTGGCTAATTTTTGTATTTTTTAGTAGAGACGGGGTTTCACCACATTGGCCAGGCTGGTCTCAAACTCTTGACCTCAAGAGCCGCCTGCCTCGGCCTCCCAAAGTGCTGGGATTACAGGCTTGAGCCACCGCACCCAGCCGAGATATTAGTTTTAACTGTGACAGAGGTTATGTGGCCCAGAAATCTGAGGAAAAGCAAATGTGACAACTACATATTAAAGCCCAGAAGACACTCTGTTTTATAAATTAAAATGTTCACAGTGTTTGCGCTGTGTTAGCTCACAATGAAGCAGGGTCTACAGAATAAAGTGCTTGCTGTGGATGCAGAGAAGAGAACAATTGTCTATCTATAAAGAACTACCAGGCAAGGCTTCCTAAGTGGATACTTAAACCAGACCAGTGGATATATAAATCATTAGGGAATAGGGGAGTTCACTTGGAAAGTGAGGGCGCTCTGGGGAACGGGATGAGTATGATTGAAGTCATCAAGTCATGGGTGGTGGGGGGTTCAGTGGAGGTATGGGGGAATTTATTTTGTGATAATAAATCTCAACTTAGTTTTAAGGTTTTAGATGTAAGATGTCACCCAATGAACTCTGATGATGTTTTTCCCAGCTTATGAGAAATAGAAATAGGAACAGAAAAAAATACTGCACAAAACTGAAAACCTTTCTAACTTAGTGAGCTTCTCACAATAAAACACGCAGTGAATAGCTTGTATTGTACAATAAACCATAACATATAAAAATCGCCTGCCAACTGGGCATGATAGCTCACATCTATAGTCCCAGTTACTTCAGTCTTGCTTGAGTGGGAGGACTGCTTGGGGCCAGGAGTTCCAGACCAGCCTAGACAACATAGTGAGGCATCATCTCTAAAAAAATCATTAGCCCATACAGTGCCTATAATCTCTGGATTTGCTCCCATTTCCTCTTTATCTGAAGCCTTTTGTAAAAAGGAGAGTTAAGTATCTTATATCTTATTTTTAATTTCTCTAGCAATAGACACCACTGTTGTGGTCAAACCACTGCCACCATTTACTCCACATTCTTTTACAGGGTCTACTCTAAAAAAAAACTGTGTCTACTAACCATAAACCAAACCTACTGAAGAGTCCCTCTGCTTGTGAAAAGGACATCATTCTTTTTCAACTTTAGTCAAAATTTTCCCACATTTTGGCCTTTTTTATCATCTGAATCTGATCTTTACATTTCTACATATGAGTATAATCTTCCAAACATTTGCTTAAAAGGCACAAGTAATTTTGCTTTGTTAATTAAAAAAAATTTTTGTTTGGCTGGGCATAGTGGCTCATGCCTGTAATCCTAACACATTGGGAGGCTGAGGCAGGAGGATCACTTGAGGCCAGGAGTTTGAGACCAGCCTGGCCAACATGGCAAAACCCTGTCTCTAATAAAAATACAAAAGTTAGCCGGGTATGTTCACACACACCTGTAGTCCCAGCTACTCAGGAGACTGAGGCCCAAGAATTGAACCTGGGAGGCGGAGGTTGCAGTGAGCTGAGACCGTGGCTGCATTCCAGCCTGGGTGACAGCCAAACAGTCTGGAAAAAAAAAACAAACAAAAAAAAAAAAAAAACAAATCCAAAACCCAAAAAACTGTTTCCTTCATGTTCATTTTATGTGTTTATTCTTTAAAAAGAAAAAGAAAAAAAAAACCTGCAGTAAAGCACTGATATGCAAAAAAGATGGCTACATCATGAAGTGGAATCAGAGTGACCAACGGTCCAGGTTTAAGCACGGAAAGTCTCATGTCTGAGGAAACTCTCCATCCTGGGAAAACAAGAATGGTTGGCCATTTTAGGTGGAATATGTTCTGACAGGAATTTGCTTCTTATTTCATATTCTGAAAGATGGACAAAACATACCTGCTCTCAAAAAGCTTACAATTTTGTAGGAAAAGATGGAGACATAAAAATATGAAAAATATCATGAGATGTACAAAATACTATGGGAGTTCAGAAGGAGAGATCAGATTTATGAAGAGGGTGGCAAAAAAAAAAGTTACAATATTTCAACAGGAAAGAACATACCAGGGATAAGAAAAGTGAGAGCAAAGGCACAAAAGGCAGCATAACATGGGAACATTAATTAGACTATAGCGGAAAAAGCAGTCTGACTGGCTCACAGGGCACAAAGGAATAGGAAAATAAAAATAGCAGTAATCTTCAGTTAAGATTAAGGAGATCTCTGAGTATCAGTGAAGAGCTCTGACTCATTTAATAAGCAACAACAATAGACATTTTGAAGATAAACATGAATACTGAGAAAACTAAAGATACTTTTAAATTAACGAAAGAAGTTCTAACAGTAGAAGGCTGAACAATACATCTAGGCATGGTAAGCATTTCATTAAAATATGAGTAATATGTGGTAATTTTTTGGCGAAAAACAAAAAATGAGGTCAGAAATAGCATACCAAATGGAAGAAACTGCAAGAAAGTGACATAAGGATAGTTAAGAAACTGGTAATTTCAGCTTTATTCAATATTATATGGATATTAAGTATCTGCTATGTGCAGCCAGGGTAGGTATCATATGCAAACATTTTTGCTTCCCTATTTTTTATAACAGGATATTAATTTTGATACCATGGCATCTAATATCTAAGGCACATTGAAGTTACATTTAGTTATACCACTATCACAGAACATAGCACTTAGGGTATTTGCCTACAACCTCACATGTATTAACAAATAAAGCAGATGTATGGGGCAGACTCCATTTTTCCCTCAAAAAAGTACTTCGAATCTGCCAAAGTACATGAAAAAAAAAACAAATTCAGGCTGGATGCGGTGGTTGACACCTGTAATCCTTGGGCAACAAGGCGAAACCCCACCCCTACAAAAAAATACACAAAATTAGCCAGGCGTGGTGGCCTGCGCCTGTAGTTCCACCTACCCGGGAGGATGGGAGGTGAAAGGATCACCTGAGCCTGGGGAGGTTGAGGTTGCAGTGAGCTGTGACAGCGCCACTTCACTCTAGCCTGGGTGACAGAGTGAGAACCTGCCTTGAAAAAAACAAAAAAACAAAAACAAAAAAGACCCCAAAACCAAAAAAGCAAAAAGCCCCAAAACCATACTCAGTTAAGGGTTAAATACCTCATGACCTGGGGCCTACGTGTAATGATTATTGCTATATAATCAAAACTTAACACAGTGCCTGGAATATGGAAGACACCTAATTATTTGTTGAATGAATCAAAACCAGTTTCTTGCCCTAGAGGGGAGGTTGGCCAACTAGAACTCCCAGGCCAAATCCCATTTGCTCCCTGTTTTTTTGTTTTTGTTTTTTTTGGTAAATAAAATTTTGTTGGAACACAGTCACACTCATAAAGTTTTAATGGAACATAGTTCATTTGTTGTGTCTTGTCCACAGCTGGCTTCAGGCTACAATAGCAGAGGTGAATGGTTGTGATAAGAGACTGTATGGTTAACAAGGCTTAAAATAGTTATCAGGTCCTTTACAGAAAAAGTTTGCCAACACTTGCACTATAGGCTAGAGCCTGGAAGAGACAAGGATAGACCTTGCCCATTAACTCACAGGTGGCAAATGGGTTTCAGCTTAGTCATCAACTCAAAATATTAACAGCTACCTGTAGCTAAGTGCAGTGTTGAGAATGATTTTTGAGATCAACTAGGACTCAAAGGGAAAGAATCTAGTTCTCAATTACCAATGGCTACTGTGGTTTAAGTGAAGGAGAGACAGGGTTGTATTAATGATTCCAAAAACATTTGAAAATTTCTGCTGTAGAATATTTTAAACATCTAGCACTGTTGTCTGATGGTTTTACAAAAATGAATTAATTAGTTGCAAAATATATGCCAAACAACCCCCTCAAAACAAATCAAAACACCTATAAAGAATTACTGAGAATGATCGTGCTGAATGCTGAAGTCTGTCTACCAAAACCAACGATTTCTGGCATAGATAGCTATCATATTTATAACATTCATTCAATACCTCTATGTGACAGGTACATTATTCACTTAGTTAACAGATTGAGTTGTTTAAGATCATTCATGAGGATGATAAAACAGTATATATAAAGGGAACCTACAGCAAGAAGGTAAGCCCCCAGTACATATAAAAACTTTAAGATTTATAGATAAAATTGAAAAGGACAGCTTGGGTAAAATATATTTCACATTTAAAATGAAAATCTAATCTGTTAATTTTGTGCATTTAGATTCTTCAAGTGGTTAAAATACACACGGTCTAACATCAAAGTATTCATGCCACTGAGGTTCTGAAGTTTCTCTTCAGATTATTTTAGAAAAATCCTTTGTTAACCAATAAATATATTTCTAATCTGAACACTGACATGTCTGTATGGTGCTTTTAAAGCTCTTACCATGTCCTTCCATATATTAAATTTCAATCTTCAGAGCAACAATGAAAATAAGGTACTGTCTTTAGATAAAGGATTTGGCTGGGCACAAGGGCTCACGCCTGTAATCCTAGCACTTTGAGAGGCTGGGGTAGGTAGATGGCTTGAGCTCAGGAGTTCGATACCAGACTGGGAAACATTGTGAAACCTTGTCTCTACAAAAAATTACCTGGGCATGGTGGTGCATGCCTGTGGCCCTAGCTACTCAGGAGGCTGAGGTGAGTTGTGACTGCACCACTGCACTCCAGCCTGGGCAACAGAGTGAGACTTGTCTCAAAATAGACAGAGACAGACAGACAGACAGATAGAAGATAAATAAATAAATAAAAAGAGATAAAGGATTTGTGATTCAGATTACTTACCTGAGGTTGCAGAACCACAAGACTGTAGATTTAGGATTAGAATCCAGACTAGTGCTGTCCAATAGAGCTTCCTGTAATGATAGTGTTCTATCTGGACTGTCCAGTATAGTAGCCACTAGCCACAGATGACTATCAAGGACTTAAAATGTGGTTAGTGTAACTGTAAAACTAAAATTTTGATTTTATTTAATTTCAATTAAAACTCTTTCTACACTTTTGGATTTTTGCTTATGAAACTACTGAACAAGGCATCCAGAGCTTCAATATTCATGAAAAGCTTGGATCTACCAAAAGTGACACCATCAGGGCCTCTTTATTTCTGGAAAAGCAGTTTGCCCCAGTCTCATTCTTGTACTTTTCTCTCACAAGGATACCACTCATTTTCTTCACATAAATATCCCTTTGAAAAGTTTTTGCTAAATTTTCTAAAATCACGCATTGGACAAGGTTTCCTGTTGGAAGTTATACAAATCACATTTACATATAAAAATAAGTCATTAAAAAATACCAAGCAACTTACAAAATTACTGTGGAAAACTAGAGAATGAAGTTGGAAGCTAACATAGCCACAAACACCCGAAACCGTATTACAAAACTGGCCAGGTGAGGAAACTGCTGTCACATCACTAACAGTAGATGCTTCAGTTTGTATCAGTTGTTTCTGCAGCAGAAAACTGATTTGTGGTGTACATCAACCAAGAGGAGAAGAGAAATCTATCAGAAATTTATCATCTCTTCCATCTCAAGTTAAAGTACATGTAATTTTGTGGGGCCTAGGTCAAGTACTTGTGCCCTAGCTGCAAGGGAGGCTGGAAAAGCTAGTATCTGGCATCTTCATTTCCTTCTTTTTAAGAGACAGGGTCTCATTCTGTTACCCAGGCTAGAGTGCAGAGGTGCAATCATAGCTCACTACAGCCTCAACTCCTGGGCTCAAGCGATCTACCCACCTCAACATCCTGAGTAACTGGACTATAGGCGTGTGCTGCATGCCTGATTAAATTTTTTTTTTTAAATTTTTTGCAGATACAGGGTCTTGCTATGTTGCCCAGGCTGGTCTCAAACTCCTGGCCTCAAAAGTGATCCTCCTGCCTTGGCCTCCCAAAGTGTTGGGATTTCAGGAATGAGTCACCACTGTCTGGCCCATTTTCATTTTCTATAAAGCAAGGCTATCTACCAAAACTTAGGTCTGTTTTTTCAGTATACTGGGGAGTCTCTCTAAAGATAAATTAACATACCCTGTACATCTATCTATATGATAAAAGACGCTTTTAGTTAGGTATTATGTTTCTGTTAGATGTAGTTTGGCTGGTATGGGTCACATTCCAGCATGACGTGAAGTAAGGAGCTACACATGGGGTATTTCGAAAAGTGGGTAAAACAAAAGTCACGCTGGGAATAACGAGAGGTGAAGTTTCAAGGTCAGGTCAAATTTAAATGTGAAGGCCCAGAAGCCCGGGAGACCTAATCAATTTTAAAGTAGTGGTTGGCTACCAAACCATTTATACTCCTAACACTATTATTAGTAAAATCTCTCATTCTAGTAGGGATTGGGTATATTTGTGTGTTTTAAAAAACACCCTGCTGCAGCCTATTAAGCCAACTGAGTTCCTTTCCTCATGGGGGGGCCCAGTGTGCAATGGCTGCAAACAGCAGCTTCCTTGGTAGTGTATGCAGCCTGTGTGTTGTATTGTATGGGTTGCTCTAAGGGACCCTGGAGACAGTCCTTTCAGATGGATGTTCATGTTTCTGACCTTGCACTACCCCAGTGTAGGTTCCAAACAGGCATGCGAGGTGCCTTTGGGAAGCCCCAGGGCACTGTGGCCAGGGTTCACACTGGCCAAGTTATCATCTCCATTCACACCAAGCTGCAGAACAAGGAGCATGTGATTGAGGCCCTGCGCAGGGCCAAGTTCAAGTTTTCTGGCCGCCAGAAGATCCACATCTCAAAGAAGTGGGGCTTCACCAAGTTCAATGCCAATGAGTTTGAAGACATGGTGACTGAGAAGCGGCTCATCCCAGATGGCTGTCGGGTCAAGTACATTTCCAATCGTGGCCCTGTGGACAAGTGGCGGGCCCTGCACTCATGAGGGCTTCCACTGTGCTGCCCCCTCTTAATACTCACCAATAAATTCTACTTCCTGTCCACCCAAAACAAACAAACAAACAAACAACAAAAAAAAAACACCCTGGAAAATTCTGATACTACCTTCCCTCTTCCTTAAGACCTTTACCCGAGACCAGAAATATTAGGGGCTGTCTACTAGGACCATTTTATTCATCTTTTTGCCTATAAAATAAATTTCCCCAATTTAATACAGAAAAGGGTGTCTGCTATTCCTCAGATCTCCAGAAATCAGATTATTAATACTTTAAATAAGCTACTCAAATGCCTTAACTTCCACAAGTCACAGATTAAAAATGAGACACTACCTCCAAAGGGATGACTGAGACTGGGGGGAAAGAGGTTATCCAAGATGGTTCTCTATGTCCAAAATTTAAAGATACCATCAAAAACGCCCTATAATATTTGCTGAACAGGTTGCAAAGTAACTACAACCACCACAGAAATATCCCTATTAGTTAGGGAAAATAACTACTTTCACATATTTCAAGCAAATACTATACTACATGCAGTTTATAAGCTGTTGGGTTAGAGGTATAAGAAATTGGAAGTGAGGAACTTTAGTGTTAGTAGATAAATCAAGGTAAGAACTCCAGAACAAAGCATACCCATTTTCATGAATGGAAGAATGCCATAAATATCTTCTCAATATAAATGCTTAAGTGGGGTGGTGCTTTTGCAAACCACCACCCTCCACAAGGATGGGTGAAGCTTTTTTAAAACATGATTTTACAGTCTGTTTCAACACAAGGCCGAATATAGAAATAAACAGAATTAGTGTCTTCCATGAGAGGAGAAACAAATGGCTCAGAAAAATATTTTATTTCATTTTGCTGTTAACCTCATAACCAGGATCAGGTGACAAGCTTAATATGACCACTCCTGAATACACCTGAAACTTTTTTTTTTTTTTTGAGACAGAGTCTCGCTCTATCGCCAGACTGGAGTGCAGCGGCACGATCTTGGCTCACTGCAACATCTGCCTCCTGGATTCAAGCAATTCTCTTGCCTCAGCCTCCCGAGTAGCTAGGACTACAGGTGCGCGCCACCACGCTCGGCTAATTTTTGTATTTTTAGTAGAGACGGGGAGGTTTCACCATGCTGGCCAGGATGGTATCGATCTCTCGACCTCATGATCCACCCGCCTCGGCCTCCCAAAGTGTTGGGATTACAGGCATGAGCCCCACACCCAGCCTCATCTGAAACTTTAAAAAAGAATGCCTTGATTTTAGATTGTGGGTTCGTAATCTGCATGATTATATTATACATTCAAAATGAAACTTAAGGACCAGAATATTCCTAATGGAAAATTCCCCAGTAAACCTGCCAGAAGTTCAGAGGAGAAAAATTAACCAAGTAACAAAACATAGTGGGAGCATAGGTACTTCCTGTAATTTTCTCTAATAATAATTTTAGTATCTCAACCTAAGCATTTATACTACCTGCTTACGCACGCACTGGCTTATGCAGCTAATTGTGTTATAAAGTTGTTTTTGACTAATTTAACAGTTCTTCCTTTTATAATCTACCCTCTTGAGTTTATTCAAAGATCCATTTAATATTCCATAAAATAAAGACCACTCAGAAAAATGAAAGGCACACCACACTTCACTGAAAGACATAAATAATGCTTACATTGGGCTTTCACATATGAATAAACACTTAATTACTTACTTGCATAATTACTAGGCCAGCAAGTACTTAAAGTAGCTCCAAAAAATGCCTATCATGGCAATTCTACAAGTGATAAGACGGTATCCAAAAAACATCACATGCATTATGTGTGCATCGTTGAACATTAGTATATACACCAAACAAATGGATAAAGGCAATGAGAACCAAAGTCTGGGTGGTTAACTAGGCTGTTAGAATAACCAGAGCATCTGAAGAACACATGGAAAGTGGGCAGTCACTTCCTGTAACCAATTCTGAGTTTCTAAGTAGCCTCTTCAGATACTTACTTCAATCCTTGTCACTATCAAATGGTTCCATCGAGGAGCTTTTGTTGTTGTTGTTGTTTGAGACGGAGTCTCACTCTGTCGCCTAGGCTGGAGTGCAGTGGCACGATCTCAGCTCACTGCAAGTTCTGCCTGCCAGGTTCCAGCGATTCTCCTGCTCAGCCTCCCGAGTAGCTGGGACTACAGGAACACACCACCATGCCTGGCTAATTTTCATATTTTTAGTAAAGATGGGGTTTCACCATGTTGGCCAGACTGGTCTCGAACTTCTGGCCTCAAGTGATCCGCCCGCCCTGGCCTCCCAAAGTGCTCTGCCTGCCTTGGCCTCCCAAAGTGCTGGGATTACAGACGTGAGCCACCGTGTCTGGTCTGAGGATTTTTAAATGAGGATTACATTAGTCCTATTTATAATATTCCTATTCTAATCTATTGTATTCTTACAATTAAATGTATCAAATAATTCTTAAAAACATTATTAGGAAACAAACTGCCTAATACCTTATAAGACTAAAAAAATCACCAAGATGAAACTGTAGTTATGAGCTCTCAATATTTAAACATTTAAAAAAATGTTAGTGTTTGTTAGGCACCAATCTTAACTATTTCCAAATTTAACTGGACTCTGCAATTATAGAATGAGGTGATTCTCCCATACCCTAAAGACTCATCACCCTCAGCACTGCATTCCATCCTGAGTCAGGGTCAAACAATTCCTTGGCAAAGAGGGTTTCTAAAGCTAATTGCTTCAAAGTAACATTTTCAGACCCTGGTATCTTCTCCAAACAGTAATGAATAAAGCCTTTTTAACTCATTTGAAACCAATTTCTTCTCTCTCTCTTTTTTTTTTTTTTTCCCTGAGATAGAGTCTCACTCTGTCGCCCAGGCTGGAATGCCATGGCGCAATCTCGGCTCACTGCAACCTCCGCCTCCTGGGTTCAAGCGATTCTCCCGCCTCAGCCTCCTGAGTAGCTGGGACTACTGGCGTGCGCCACCATGCCCGGCTAAGTTTTTGTATTTTTAGTAGAGATGGGTTTCACCGTGTTAGCCAGGATGGTCTCGATCTCCTGACCTCGTGATCCACCCACCTTGGCCTTCCAAAGTGCTGGGATTACAGGCGTGAGCCACTACACCCAGCCTGAAACCGACTTCTTATAGAAATTCTGAAATCCTAAAATCTCTGAAAACTCAAAGTTCTATAACTATGTTGGTGGCAAAGCTTAATCCTAATATATAATGGCAAAACTTCACCTGAGCACTGATGGGAGACTATTTTTATCTTTTATTTCTCTCACTTAATGTGACTATCCATGTTCCACATTAATATTGTGTTTGATTACTCTTACCAAAATCTAAAACAAATCTTTCCTCAAAATTCTGAAATCCAAAAATACCTGGCACCAAAGGTTATATATAGATAAGGGATTATGGCCCTATAATCAATTTTACAAACATCTACCAGGGCAAAACACTCTTGAATTTACTTCAATTTCTGTAGTTCTGTAGTACTGCTCACTGTAATTCACTGTTAATCTAAAACTCCTTTAATATGCAGATTCTACCTTATTTTTACTGTCTTTTCTAACTACTAGATCCTAAGGGTTTCACTTCTTCCTTTGACTCTAATAAGCACTCATTTATATCACTCATTTGGATATTCTGAACTGCTAACAGTTTTATACTGGTTAACTTTTCATGTCTTTGCTAAAAACCTTTTGTGCAAAATTACTCAATTTAATCCTAACATATAGTAACTAAGAACAATTAGCTTTCAATAACATGCAATCAGATCAAATAGTCCTCAAGAGACAGATGACCTAAATAAAAAATGAGGAATTATAGTTGGACATAGATATAAAACTTTAAAAATTAGTTTAAGGCTGGGTGTGGTGGCTCACGCCTGTAAATCCCAGCACTTTGGGAGTCTGAGGCAGGAAGATCCTTGAGCCCAGTAGTTCCAGACTAGCCTGGGCAAGATTATGAGACCAGGCCACTACCAAAAGAGTGAAGAAAAAAACCAGTTTAAGGAGTAGCTTATTATGGGAATTGATATGGACAAACCGTTACATACTTTATGTATTTTTCTAACTAAAATAATTCTCTTGAGCACTAGGCAGTTATTGGGCTAACCATTTGAGATAGTGGTGGAAAAGTAACATGATCTTCCTGTCCTGAAACAGTTTAGAGGGGATGAGAGGCAAACAAATGGATAAATATAATTATTGATTATGATTAAGAACTACAGAGGTAATGAAGAGGAATGCTCCTTTATATAAGGTGATCAGGAAAAAACTCTGTAAATGTGACATCTGAACTGAGATCCACTGTTGAGACTGAGGCAGAATTGCAGAGGGCTGGCAAAAGATTGTCACAGAAAGAAGTACAGCTGGCTAGAGCTTAGTGAGTAATGGGGATAAAGTTGTGAAGTAAGCAAGAACTGGATTATGCAGTACCTTCTAGGCCTTGATAAGGAACTGGTTCTTAAGGGTAAATTGGGACCGGAGGGTATTACATGATCTGATTTACATTTTTAAAAAGGTCACTTTGTATTCTGGGTAGAAAATAATGTGGGGAAGGACAAAAATGAAAACAAGTTAGGAAGCTCCTGTGAGTCCAGACAAGAGATGACTGTGGCTTAAACAAGGGTGGTATTACAGAAACACAGCATTTGAAAGCCCGAAAAGACCTTAACAGCCATTTAGTCCAACTTTCTCTACATAAAGATAAGGTCCTAAGAGAGGAGTTAACTTGTTCAAAGTTTCATGACCAGTGCCAGAAACTAAACTGAAGCCTGTCACCTAGGTCAATGTTACCACCACTAAACCATGCTTTTTAAGACAACAGAGTACAATAAAAGGTCTAACTACTTAAAACAAATACCTGAGTTCTCAGATTTGATTTCACACCCAATGGAATGAGCTAAAAAAACATATGAGGACAATGAAATAAAGGTCTAATTTGAGTACCTGAAGGTCCAGAGAAAAGTACACAAGGGACTGCTGGGAAGCAGAACTAGTCAAAGGCTCTCCAGTCAAACTGCTTAGTGATGAAATTTTAAGACTATAATCTCTAACTCAAATATAATGCCAGTTTATCCTCTACATAGGACCTTCTGATGGGTAAGATGTATCAACCACTAAAGCATCACAAGTGTTTTTCAATGTTGAGTTTATCATTCCTGTTGACCAGAACTGTGAAGTGAATTGCTTTTAACAGTAGTCCTGCACTTAACAAGAACCTCTTAATCACCATCCTCACTCTCTTTTCTGCTCTACTTCCTGCCCTTTCACCTCTTCATTGCCTATTATCACCATCATTAACCATCATCACTTTCATCTAAACAGAGAAATGTTATAAATGCTTTTTCTGTCCTTAAAAGCTTGCAAACCTAGTCTTAATTCTTTTTTGCTGAAGGATGATTAAGTTGAGAGCTCCTGGAAGAAAAAAACACAAGTATAAACAAGCTAAAATAGAAGGATTTAATGCAATATTTTCAACTAGCAACTAAAACTCTATAAATAATAGTCAGTGACAACCTTGTGACTAATTTGGATGTCCTGGACATAAAATACGATCTCAGTATGTTCCCTAATTCAGAATTGCTAGAACAGCAGACCAGTTAATTATTTAATATAGGGAGCACTAAAGCTTCCTGTTAAATTCCCTTGCTCTCTATGGGATTAGCACATGCAGGCAGGAGTTCTATAATGCTTAATCCCTGAAGCTACCCTGAAGTTAGCATTTTCACATGTATTCCTTCCCTAAACCTTTTTCTTCCTCTGGTGTCAACTTTGTTCTTTGCAACACTGGTGTTCAGACTGAATTATCTTTTCTCTCCATTTTAATCTCTCTAGGGAAATAACTGGCACTAAATTTCCAAGAAACTGTGCACAATACAAACTGTAACTTAACTATCTTTCTTAACACTCTCCTAATCTGAAACTGATTACTCGATCCAAACACAGTCTAAAAATCCTTTAAAATGTGGAACCAGACCGGTGCGGTGGCTCACTCCTGTAATCCCAGCACTTTGGAGGACTGAGGTGGAAGAACCGATTAGGCCAAGGAGTTTGACACCAGCCTGGGCAACATGGCAAAACCCTGTCTCTACAAAAGTTAGTTGGGTGTGGTGGCATGCGCCTGTAGTCCCAGCTACTTGGGACGCTGAGATGCATCAACTGAGCCCGGGAGGTCGAGACTTCAGTGAGTCGTGGTTGTGACACTGCACTCAAGCCTAGATGACAGTGAGACCTTGTCTCAAAAAAAAAAAAAAGAAAAGGAAAATAAAATTTGGACTTATCCCATGAGTTTATAAAAACAGTTTAACAAGGATTGCTACAAATGTTTTTAAATTAACATAAAAAAGAAGGCCACAGAGTGGCTCTACCCAGCACTTTGGGAGGCCGAGGTGGGCGGATCACCTGAGGTCAGGAGTTCGGGACCAGCCTGGCCAATATGGTGAAACCCTGTCTCTACTAAAACTACAAAAATTAGCCAGGCATGGTGGTGGTGCCTGCAATCCCAGCTACTTGGGAGGCTGAGGCAAGAGAATCGCTTGAACCTGGGAGGAGGAGGTTACAATGAGCTGAGATTGCACCATTGCATTCCACAGTCCATCCTGGGTGACAATAGAGAGACTCAGTCTTAAAAAAAATAAAAATAAAAATAAAAAAAAATAAAAAAATAAAAAAACCACCACCACCAAGAAACAGCATTCTCCTGAAAGGTAAAAAAAGGATCATTCTACAGGTGTGTTTTTGAAAAGTGTCTACTTAAGGTAAGACAACACACCAAATTCTCAGGTCAAAAAGACATTACTAAACTTGAAACTTACAGCTTTACTATGGAAAAGTTATCAAATATTTTAAAACTGAGAAAGTCAACTACTAAAAATCTACTTAAGGATTATGTTAGACTTTGGACACAAGGGAATTCTGTCTATAGATGAGCAGTCAGGTATACAAAACAAATATTAAAACCAAAAATAGGCTTAAAAATAACTATTATCTAATCCATTACCAAGACCAAAAGTTGAATGGAATGCACAGAGAAGACTACAAAGAAGTTAAACTGATTATATATTAATAGGAGATTTTAAGATAAAGCACATGAAAACATTGCTTCACATTTATCTATGGCTCCCATTCCTGTTTCCAACAAAAATATAAACAAAATAAATCAAAGAAGACATTAAACACTGAGAGCAAAGCATGGAAAAATAAGTAATACAAAATACATTAGACAGTTGGGAATATTTTAATAGCATTTTCAGATAAATCTGGATACTGGTCTTTGACACTACACCAAAGCTCAGCAATTGGTTGCAATATGGAACAGGATACCTTATTGATAAACTTTTATGTTCTCTATAACATTAAAATCCATTGGTCTAGCTGACACTTTGTAAAGATTTCTTACCCATGTATGATTTTTATAATACTATGCATTGATCATTTGGAAATACTGACTCAGTTATGCAGATAATCAAATAATGACAGATTTCATTATATACTTACAGCAGCTGATACAAGCTTTCTAAAATTTTTGCTTAAAATCTAGGAACTTTATCATCGACCATAAATACTACCACTATTTTCCCTAAAGCAAAGCCTCACTGTTTTCAAGAAAATGTCAGCCTAATGCCCAAGTCTGGCATTCTTTTAAGCAAAAATGGCATTATATGAAGATTGATTCAGCGTGTGACTCAATCACACAAATACTTTCCCTAGAAACAACCATTATATTTCAGTATGCTGCCAAGTGTTTTTGTTTTGTTTTTCGAGACAGGGTCTTGCTCTGTCACCCAGGTTGAAGCGCAGTGGCACGATCACAGCTAACTGCAGCCTCCAACTCCTGGGCTCAAGAGATCCTTCCACCTCAGCCTCCAGAGTAGCTGTAGATGTGCATGACCACACTAACTTTTTTTTTTTTAATAGGAGAGACAGGCTCTCACTACATTGCCCAAGCTGGACTTAGCCTCCCAAAGTGCTGGGAGGCTTGCTGTCCATGGCCTCGCCAGTGTTTTAAGCATACTTCCCATTTTGTTACAGTATATTAAAGATGTGTACAAAGGTAGAGATTTAGTTTAAAATTTTTTTACTTCTTCATCAAGAGCATTTAGGTGAAACTTAAAAAAAAATCTGAGTGCATGGCAGTGAATAATACAATGATTACTAGGACAGTGAAGTACTCTAACCTGGTTTATTCTAAAGCGCCAGAAGTTTTATCCACCACTGTTTTTATACTACAGGTACAAATGTCACTACAAAGAAAACGGCAAAGAATGTCTCAGTATTATAAAAATAGTTTTGCACTTGTAGACTCGCCAAAAATGTCTAGGGGACCTCCAGGATTCCTTGGACCATACCTTGAAAATACTGATCTAGGTAATTCATTTGTTACACTAATCAAAACTCACAATTATTTATTAGTCCTTATTCATACTTTAATGGGATTCTTAAGCAATGCCATAGGAGAATAAAAGCTTTATAGGGCCAGGCAAGGTGGCTCACGCCTGCAATCCCAGCACTTTGGGAGGCCGAGGCGGGCAGATCACAAGGTGAGGAGTTCGAGACCAGCCTGGCCAATATGGTGAAGCCCCGTCTCTAAGAAAAATACAAAAAAAATTAGCCAGGCGTGGTGGCGCATGCCTGTAATCCCAGCTACTCGAGAGGCTGAGGCAGGTGAATTGCTTGAACCTGGGAGCAGAGGTTGCACTGAGCGAAGATTGTGCCACTGCATTCTAGCCTGGGCGACAGACTCCACCTCAAAAAAAAAAAAAAAAAAAAAAAAAGCTTTATAGAACAAGAACTAATACAGCTGGGTATGGTGGCTCATGCCTGTAATCCTAGCAGTTTGGGAGGTGGAGGCGGGCAGATTACTTGAGCTCAGGAGTTCAGACCAGCATGGGCAACATGGTGAGACCCCGTCTCTACAAAAAATACAAAAATTAGCTGGGCATGGTGGCATGCGCCTGTAGGCCCAGCTACTTGGGGAGCTGAGGCTGGAGAATGGCTTGAATCTGGGAGGTTGAAGCTGCAGTGAGCCAAGTTTGTGCCACTGCACTCCAGCCTGGGTGACAGAGTGAGGCTGTCAAAAAAAAAAATAGTACATTACTGTATTATTTTATGGTTTATGAAACATTCATGAGTAATACTGCATTTGATCCTCAACAACTCTAACAACAGTATGTCATCATTCTCACTGAGGAGGCAAGGAGGTTGGAAAGCTTCAGAAGGAAAGTACACATTTTGCTTTAAAAAAGTCATTGTAGTGATGGCATTACGGATGATACTCATTTTCTTCTTTATACTTTTCTATATTTTAAACATTGGTAAGAACGTCAAAAAGACATATTTGAACTCAGCCAATCTTATAAATACAAATCAGTACACTATCTCAAGTTTGTTAATTTCAAGAGCAGTAGGAGAAAACAACAGATAACATATGTTATATATCTCATCCTATCCCTCAATTCAAGATTCCAGAGGAATTCCTGCATTTTGCTATTGTATTGAGAAGCTTGTGGATAACTTAGAAGCATCAGCCACAAATATGTTGGCACAATGTAGTAATAGGATTCCACATTCTAACTGCAACTTTAAAACACAAGGTAACAAACAGCTGGATGCAACATACATACCTTTTGGCGCATAAAAACTAAGTAAAAATAGATTATATATATAGTCCTTATTTTATTGATACCCTTTCAGTTCTATTAACTGAGAACTTAGAAAGTCCCTGAATTTAGTATAAAGTAACTTTGAAAAATATATTCTAATGTGAGGATAAATTTTAGAATACACAGATAATTATAATTTCATTTTACCCAGCATTTTCCATTTCCTTTCCAGAAGCTTTCACCAAAAATTGCTACTAAATAGACAAAACATGTTTCCTTTCATCTTTTTCCCTTCCTACAAGGCAAAGAAAAAGGAAACAGGTAGAGGCAATCCACCACTTCGGCAATCAGTTCACTGTATATTTTTAAAATAAAGTTACTTAGTGAAATGCTGGGCCAGGCACAGTGGCTCATGCCTATAATCCCAGCACTTGGGAGGCCAAGATGGGCAGATCCCTTGAGCCCACGAGTTTGAGGTGAGCTTGGGCAACATGGCGAAACGTCTCTACAAAAAATACAAAACCTGGCCGGGCGCGGTGGCTCATGCCTGTAATCCCAGCACTTTGGGAGGCCAAGCCAGGTGGATCACCTGAGGTCAGGAATTCGAGACCAGCCTGACCAATATGGTGAAATCCCCTCTCTACTAAAAATACAAAACTTAGCTGGGTGCGGTGGTGTGCGCCTGTAGTACTAGCTAAGGCAGGAGATCTGCTTGAACCTGGAGGCGGAGGTTGCAGTGAGCTGAGATTGCACCACTGCACTCCAGCCTGGGGGACAGAGAGAGACTCCGTCTCAAAAAAAAAAAAAAAAAAAAAAAAAATTAGCCAGGCACAGTATTCCCAGCTACTCGGGAGGCTTAGACTGGAGGACTGCTTGACCCCTGGAGGCGGAGGCTGTGGTGAACTGAGATCGTGCCACTGCACTCCAGCCTGACTGACAGAGCGAGACTCTGTCTCAAAAAAAACAAAAAACAAAACAACAACAACAAAAAAACAAAGGCCGGGCACAGTGGCTCACGCCTGTAATCCCAGCACTTTGGGAGGCCGAGGCAGGTGGATCTCGAGGTCAGGAGATCCAGACCATCCTGGCTAACACAGTGAAACCCCGTCTCTACTAAAACACAAAAAATTAGCCAGGTGTGGTGGCGGGCGCCTGTAGTCTCAGCTACTCGGGAGGCTGAGGCAGGTGAATGGCGTGAACCCTGGAGGCGGAGCTTGCAGTGAGCGGAGACCGTGCCACTGCACTCCAGCCTGGGCGACAGAGTGGGACTCCATCTCAAAAAAAAAAAAAATCCAAATTATTTACTAGAGTTTTTAATGGATGCTCACTTCCTTTATTCAGTCTATCTGCACAACAGTTAAAAACATTCAATCCCCCAGTACCGGAAAAAAAATCACAAGTTATGAAACCAGAATTCAGCTAAAATTTAAAAGGTCTCACTGATATATGTATATGTGTGTGTGTATGTATGTGTATATATATACACATGTATAACTACAAAAACATAAAGTAAAAGTAATTACAAGTAAGCTTTAGGAAATGGTTTGATATAAAACTCAAACTCACAAGATTAAATAATTACTCTCTATGGTCAGAGAGACAGATTTGTAACTCAAAAGAACATTTCTAGTATGCAGGCACCTCATACACAATCTAAGTAATTTTTTTTTTTTTGACAGTCTCACTCTGTCGCCCAGGTTGGAGTGCAGTGGAGCGATCTTGGCTCACTGCAACCTCCGCCTCCCAGGTTCAAGCGATTCTCCTGCCTCAGTCTCCCAAGCAGCTCGGATTACAGGCACCTCCCACTACGCCCAGGTAATTTTTTGTATTTTGAATTGTATACTGATATCACAGAATATACTCCTCCTGTACAATAAAAATCAGATGGAAATTCTGTAACTCATGTTGTAAATATTTTTATTTTAGGGAATTTAAATTAAAAAAAACTGGTACATTTCCCCCACATTTTCATTTTTTCCTGTTTTAAGGTTCTTTGGAAAGTTTTAAAAATTTTGACCCTCTACTGATTCAAAGGAAAAAAAATCTTTCTAAATTACTGCTTAAATAATCAGTTGCTACTGTACCCTTGATTTGACCAACATTAGGAATAAATAGTCCAATGTTATGAAATACGGAATGTAAGTGATACTATTTTTTGTTGCTGGTGAATTTTAAAAAGTGATGTTTTTAAGGCAGCACAAAAGTTCCTGATAACTTTTCTTGTTTAAAATAGAAACTCTCCACGACCAAAGAGACTTGTTTTAGAATCCAGTGCTCAACTGGGTTCAAAGTACAACAGATTACATACAAATCAGTTTTTACTGCAAATGGATAAATTCATCTATTCTTTGTAGCTACTGCTTCCACTGTGCTTATGAGATTTACAAAGAACTTAAGACCTCAAATGGCAATTAGTACCTTTCAATACCATTGCAAAATAATCTATGAACACAGAAAAACACTAGCTTCCAGAGCCATGGTACAGTACTCCTGTTTACAGATGGCTGAACTAAAAATTTTGTCCAATGTTACAATGAATCACTGCATCAGCCAAAATGTCTTAACTTGTTCTAAAATTCAATTCAATTTGAAAAGGCTAACAAAAACTTCAGCCTAATCTCTTAGACCATGGAGTCCTCAATAATGACAGGAGGGGGAAGAAAACCCAGGGCATATTTTTAGTCACAACCTATGTCTCAGAAAGTTTAAGACAGACCAATCTTTACCTAACTTTTCTATAGAGTGAACACGTGACATCACTGCTATAAAACAGCAGTAAATAGCTAATTCATAAATGCTAAATTACTCCTAGTGCCAGTCAAATCTAGAAACTGCAGATCAATACCCAACCTCCTCTTTAGCAACACAAACATACAGAGAAACACAGTTATTTTACATCTTTAAGGAAATGAGGCAAATCAGTAAGATCTGTGTGATAGTCGATAATAAAACAGCCTATTTAAACAATACTTATGGGGAAAAAGTAAATGGACACCTTGTAAAATCGGTCAAATTCTCTGTATCAGATCCAATTTCAGATTAGTTTCACTACCTCAATAAATATTTATCGAGTACCTACAACAAAAGGCAAAAAAAACCTGAACGTGAGCTTTTCATCCAAATCTTGGACTGCATTTAAAATAACATGTCTAATCAGTTACCATGTTATCAATCTTTGCATAGACCTTCCACCAATCTTGAATTAGATAGGAAGATACAATTGAAAGGATCCTTACAAAAATGGATCTAGTTATTTTAATAATTAATTCTTTGCTATACCCTCCTTACATGGTAGCTCTTTATTATGGGAGGGGGTCACTTTACCTTTATACAGCTAAGAGAAAATATTGGAATTCTGAAAAGGATTGAGGATAAAACGAAAATTAATTTGTCAAGTAAAAGGGATTCCAAAGCCAATATGTAAATGTTTCTTTTTAAAGGATTACACTGTTCTCTTCAAATATCCTCTCTTTGAATGTTCATTACCATTAATCCCTAAATTCAAACGCTAACCATTACACTGTGCCCAGGCAACGCGCTACACTGTGCCCAGGCAACGCGCTAGGAAGATTACTGTGAAGAATGAAATGGATTAAGTCCCTACCCTCATGGTACTTACATTTAACTGGTGTTGAATGTCTATTGCAAGGCACCATGCCAGTGCGTTAAGGCATACAAAACAATATATATCTTGTGGTTGGAGTTCACAATTCAATGGAATAAATAATATAAAATGGTAACAGGAGGCAGGAAGTAATGCGTGTCATAGAAGGTAAGAGAGATGACTTTCACGCGGTCGTGGGTGAGGGGAGAATGTAAAAGAGAGCAGAGCAATCATTTTCTTATCTCCTTTTTTTTTTTTTTTTTTTAAGACAGGTCTAGCTCTGTCACCCAGGCTGCAGTACAGTAGTGCAGTCTCGGCTCACTGCACCCTCCGCCTCCCAGGTTCAAGCTGGTTCATTCAATGTGAACCTCCCAGGTTCATATTCTCGTGCCTCAGCCTCCCGAATAGCTGGGATTGCAGGCGCGTGCCACTACACCCGGCTATGTTTTGTATTTTTAGTAAAGACGGGGTTTCACCATGTTGCCCAGGCTGTTCTCGAACTCTTCACCTCAAATGATCCGCCTTCCTCGGCTCGGCCTCCCAAAGTGCTGGGATTACAGGCGTAAACCACCACGCCCAGCCAGAGCAATCATTTTCATGCCCCATACAACATTTTAAAATTAAGTCAGTTTAGCATTGGTTCTTCAGTTATATTTTGATACCTGGCATATTAAAAACAACAAACTGGCTACATGTGTTCCAATGATTTACTTTAGGACTTCCTTAGATAAGGCAGCTTCACGATTTATTGTCAACGTCAAACAAGGAAATGCAAGTGAAAACACCTAACGTAGTACACATTAAAAGCACAGATGAGCTCAAATAAGACTAAAGGAAATGCAAGTGAAAACACCTAACGTAGTACACATTAAAAGCACAGATGAGCTCAAATAAGACTATCATTCAGGCTCTGTGTGCTTAAAGTTATTTAATCTGAGTATCAGTTTCCTCACCTAAAACCTGAGGATGAAACTACTCAAGTGGTTTTTTCTCCTATTTGACTAAGGTACCCACTTTTTAAAAGTGCGATATGGGAAGAATATTCTTTGTAAGATGATAATTCACTATAAAAACGTTGTATTTCTTTCTCCATGTTGTCTCTTACGGATAGACTACTGTCCTAAAGGTCAGTGGACCCACTAACTGGTTATCTTATCTAGGCCTCAGTTTCCTCCTCCATAAAATGACAGGGTGGGACTGGATGATCTAAATAGTCCCTTCCGGCCCTTAAAAAGTCCCATGACTCCACTATGACTCAATAAATACTATTTCAAGAGTCAGCTTTTAAGAATAATATGGGCTTGAAGTTAAATGAATGTCTCCCTTTTCTATAAGTTACTTTTTGTTAAGATAAGGTCTTGTTGAGCAAGTCCAAACAGTATTCTAATTACGAAAAAAGAGAGCTGAAAAATAAATTTACAAGTCAGAGCTTTAAATTGTTAAGTACTCGACATATATGAGATGCTGCCTGCAAAACCAAAATCCAATTAGACGGAATTAATTTTAAAATACTAAAATCACAATCTTCATTTAGTGTCAACTTTCTACCCCGTAAAAATGTGATTTCCCCTTACTGCAACACAGAACTGCTTCTATTCATACCAATCAGAAGTTACAGGGCCAAAATGTTTTTCTAAACTATTAAAGAGAGTGGGAGAGGGGGGAAAGCGAAGGGGAAGGAAACCATCTGCTTTAACTTGCAAAAATGATCTTTTCTCCAAAAGACATCAGTGTTTTTCAGAAGAAAAATCCGGAGAGCCCGGTTCACTGGGCGTAGTTTTAAATAAAATTCATGGCGCTGATAGTTTTAGGATTAGACACCTCGAGATGGCGAAAAAGAGAAGAGGACAAACTTCCTGGATTTTCTCTCCCTCTAAGAGAAAGAGATTTCCTCTTGCTGACGAAGGGAAAGGCCCCTTTAACAGTTTTTCTCTACACGGTGGCTGCTGCCAGACTAAGTGGGGCTCTCTCCGCTGCCTTCCTCCTGCCACTTCCCGCAACAAATGGAGCAAGCAAGCCCCGTTTCAGGCAAACTTTTTCGCTGTCAGGCTCAAGCCCGCGGGGCGCCTGGGAGTGGTTTCCCCCGAAGGCTCCTCGCCCTAGCTCGGGGCTGGGAGAAGCTAGGTCTTCGCAAAGGACAACTTTCTGGTTTCCGTTCTAACTTCCACCCATACCACGGAGGGAACCCAGGCGACAAGCGAGGGGGCTCGGGGCGGGGAGCGAGTCTTCGGGGGAGCCGGCGGGGAAAGGAGGGCGGCGGGAGAAGCTGCGGCGGACGCGGGCTGAAGAGAGCGGGCGGGTGGGGGGGTCCTCGGGCTCTCACTTCCTCCGCCATATTTCAGACATTTGACCCCTTCCGCAAAGCGCGCTGTTCTCCCGCGGCGGCGGCGGCTGCTCCTCCTCGCCGGCCCGCAAGGCAGCGCGCTCGCGGGCCCGGCGCCTGGCCCTCGCGCCACCTGCCGCGCGCCGAGGGGCTGCCGCCGCCGGGGCCCCTGACCGCCGCGCCCGGCCCGCGCCTCGCCGCACCCCACCCGCTCCCCTCAGCCGGCGCCCGGCCCCGCGCGGCCGCCGCCGCGGCTTCCCTCAGCGGCCACGCACTCACTCTGCGAACCTCTCACGCTGTCACCGGGTCCCTGCAGCCAGCGTCGCCCCGCGCTCCCCCCGGGTCGCTACTCTAGGCGCCACGGCGGTCCTGCCGCTGCCGCGCCGCTCCGGCTGGTTTACACGCCTGAATCTGGGCGAGGTTTGGCGATGTCGCCTTGACGTCAGGCGTTCAGCCTCGCTCCAGCTTCCGCCCGCGGGCGGGGCGCGCGGGTGCGCGGCCCGGGAAGGGGCGGGCCTAGGGGGCGGGGCGAGGGGAGCCGAGGGGGCGGGGCCGCCGCGCGCCGGGTCCTCGGCGCCGGCCTCTAGCCGGCCTGCATCGCAGCCGGAGCGCAGGCCCTGCCCACGGGCCCCTTAGCTGCCTCTGGGCGGCATGTCTGCCGAGGTTCTTCTCTCTAGCTGCGCCGCGCCTTCAGGCTCGCTTCCCCAGGCTGTCTGGTGGGCGGAATCCGCGCGTCGGTGTTCCTGACCCTCGTGGGTTCCAGTGGAACCCTCCGAAACCCAAAAGGCGCCGCCTCTTAATGCAAACTGTAGTCACCGACTCGTCCAGTCTGTTGGTATTCGCGTCGTCCTTTGTGCTGGGCAAAGTAACCGAGAAGTAACGGAGAGCGCGCATTTTCTACACCTAGAGCTCCCCGAGGGAGCCTGGGCCAGCAAGTCTTTCCATTCTTGAGATGCCTTTTCTCCTGGATTGACAAGTGTTTTATCCATTGGTGTCTTAACCCGGGCGAACTCTTTCCAAATTCCCATGCCAAACGCAGTTAACAAATCGATGATTTCTAAATAAGTTTGTACCCTGCACCTAAACCAACGCCATTTATATAACTAAAATAAATTGCGTATTTAAATGCATGTCCTGGACGCTTTATTCACTTCACAGGATTACCCATAGGCAAGTAGGTTTATCGTGTGACTTCAGGGCACCAGAAAACACTTTCTGTTCCAAAATGCCTCGTTCCAAAAAGGGCGGGAACTTAACACGGGAATTTACCATTCTTACTTACCCTTAGTACAAGAAATTTATCAGAACTTTTTCTTGAAGCAGTTTTGATGGGCGAGGAGATTAAGAGAGCAAAGTGCAGGGAAAAGGGATTGAGGGGTCATTTAAGACTAACTTTCTTGGTTCATAATTTAATTAGGCCCTGTACAAATTATTCTTGAAATAAATCTTAATAAACGTTGATAAATTTGGAAGATAAATGGAATGTGACTAATTTCACTCCGTTTAAGAATATGTAGTGATTGAAAACTAAGCTAACCTAAGTTAAATGAATAGATGAGAATGAATTATAACAGTTCTCTGTGTTTTATAATGTTTTACAATTTAGGTTAATTGAGTAGATTACCTATTTCGATAATTTCTATTTCCTTAGAAAAATATCTTTTTAAAAATTGTTTATTGTCTGCATTTATTGTGTATACAACATGATCGTTTGAAGTAATGTATACATTGTTACATTACCTCACAGAGTTACCTTTTTTTTTGAGAGTCTTGCTCTGTCACCCAGGCTAGAGTGCAGTGGCATGATCTCGGCTCACTGGAATTTCTGCTTCTCAGGTTCAAGAGATTCTCCTGTCTCAGCCTCCCGAGTAGCTGGGATGACGGGCGCGTGCCACCACGCCCAGCTAATTTTTAGTAGAAAGGGGATTTCGCCATGTTGGCCAGGCTGGTCTCGAATTCCTGACCTCAGGTGATGCGCTCGCCTGGGCCCCCCAAAGTGCTGGGATTACAGGCGTGACTCACCGCGCCGGCTGAGTTAGCATTTTTTTTTTCTTTTTTGAGACAGAGTTTCGCTCTTGTTGCCCAGGCTGGAAGGCAATGGCGTGATCTCGGCTCACTGCAACCTCCGCCCCCACCTCCCACCCTCGGGTTCAAGCGATTCTCCTGCCTCAGCCTCCCGACTAGCTGGGATTACAGGCATGCGCCACCACGCCCGGCTAATTTTGTATTTTTAGTAGAGACGGGGTTTCTCCATGTTGGTCAGGCTGGTCTGGAACTCCCGACCTCAGGTGATCCGCCCGCCTGGGCCTCCCGAAGTGCTGGGATTACATGCGTGAGCCACCGCGCCTGGCCTTGAGTTAGCATTTTTTTATGAGAACACTTAACATCCATTCTTTAGAAAACCTTTTTAAATAAAAGTTTCAAAGGCAAATTTCAGAGCAGTCCGTTGGAATTACTGTAACTTCTCAATGAATGAGTGAATTACAAATAAATTTGACTTTACTAACTTTTCAGTTATTGCATAAAAATTTGATAACTGAAAGTCTGAAACTTTGAGCTCACAGAAGTGTTACCTGGGAACACTGTGCTTTTTCTTTCTTTCTTTTTTTAGAAAAACTCTTTGTCCTTTGGGCAATTGATTTTTTTTTTCCAGAAAGAAATTGGTTTTAGAAAATTGAAGCTAGAATTTTTAGAGTTTGAGAGAACGTGTAAAATAATCTATTTAATTAAAAACACAGTTTCTCTTATTAGACTGGAAATCATTGTTATTTGTATTAAACTGTTATCACTATGCAGAGAATACCATAATCTGCATCTCTTAACACTGAACTCACTTTTCAGTTTGAGCCTCTTTCCTATTTATTTCCTTGACTTCTTCTCCAGGATATTCCACTGGCAATTTGCACTGGTCATGTGTGCAAACTGAACTCATCGTCTTTGTAACCAAACCAGTTTCTTTTCCTCTTCCTTTGTGAATTGTATCACCATCTTTTAAATTACCCAATCTTCAAGCCTGATACTTAGCTCTCTGCTCTTCTTGAATAATCCATCAATTGGCATATCTATTAGATAGTAATTCGACAAGGTCTTTCATTGTGTTTCCTCTTTTCCATTTCAACTAAGACCATACTTAGTTTTTAGTTGCCAAATTTAGTTTGGCAGAACTCATCCCCTGGACCTTTGCAGCCTGGTGGCCTCCAGTCTGTTCCTGCTGTGATCCATTCTATACATTGTTGCCAGATGATTATCTTAAAGCATACCAAGCAAGTCACTCCCTTCCTCAAAGAGCCTTCAATTACTCCCCACTCTACCAAAATAAAATTAAAATCCTGTGTCTCACTTTTTCCTTTCACTCAAAACTGATTTATAGTCAGAATGGACAGTGGACTTTTCATCTGGCCCACATAATTTGCTTCCCCATCTCTCTGTTGTGCATAGGTGAATGATTTCCTCTGCCTGGAATGCCCCTTCCCATTCCATCTCATTCTGCAAATACCTTGCCCATTATTCAAGGTTTATCTACTTTCTCTTAAGAATGAGCTTCTTGGCCAGGCGCGGTAGCCTATAATCCCAGCACTTTGGAAGGCAGAGGCGGGCGGATCACTTGAGGCCAGGAGTTCAAGACCAGGCTGGCCAACATGGTGAAACCCCATCTCTACTAAAAATACAAAAATTAGCTGGGCATGGTGGCACATGCCTGTAATCCCAGCTACTCGGGAGGTTGAGGGAGAAGAACTGCTTGAACTGGGACCCGGGAGGCGGAGGTTACAGTGAGCAGAGATCGCACCACTGCACCCCAGCCTGGGCTACAGAGTGAGACTCCGTCTCAAAAAAAAAAAAAAAAAAAAAGAGCTTCTTTTCTGATACTTCTAACCTTATGTATTCTCTTCTCTTTAGAATCCCTGAAACATTTTATTGCTGCTTTTCTTTGTCACTTGTGTTTGACCTTCCTGTGAATAGGGATTTGCAAACTTTTTCTGTCAAGGGCCAGAGAGTAAATATTTTAGACTTTGTGGGCCAGACAGATGGTCTCTGTTGCAACCACTCAACTCTACAGTTGTGGGACAAAAGCAGCCATAGATAATACATAAAGAATAGACCTGACTGTATTCTAATAAAACTTTATTTATGGACACTAAAATTTGAATTTCAAGTAATTTTAACGTGTCACGAAATGTTCTTTTTTTTTTTTTTTCTTTTAGCCATTTAAAAATGTGAAAATCGGCTAAGTGTGGTGGCTCACGCCTGTAATCCCAGCGCTTTGGGAGGCTGAGGTGGGAGGATCACTTGAACCTCAAGAGCTGGAGACCAGCCTGGGCAACATAGTAACAAGTAAGACCTTGTTTCTACAAAAATAATTTAAAATTAGCCAGGTGTGGTGGCACATGCCTGTTGTCCCAGCTACTTGGGAGGCTGAGGTGGGAGGATGGCTTAAGCCCAAGTCGAGTTTGAAGTTACAGTGAGCTATGATCATGCCACTACACTCCAGCTCTGGTGACAGAGCAAGACCCTGTCTCAAAAAGAAAAGAAAAGAAATGTCAAAATTGTTCTTAGCTTATAGGTGCACAAAAACAGGGGCGGCCTGGATTTGGCCAGTAGGCCATAGTTTGCTGAGCCCTGTACTCAGGGCCAGCTTCACAGGCATATGACTCATGCATGCAGTTGTACAGAGCCCTGTACTTAGAAGGGTTCCATGATTGGTTTAATGCTCTAATGTCACTATCTTGATTTTTTGTTTGTTTTTGAGACGGAGTCTTGCTCTGTTGCCCAGGCTGGAGTGCAGAGGTGCGATCTCGGCTCACTGCAACCTCTGCCTCCCGGGTTCAAGCGATTCTCCTGCCTCAGCCTCCCTAGTAGCTGGGATTACAGGCGCCCACCACCATGCCTGGCTAATGTTTTGTATTTTTAGTAGAGACAGGGTTTTACCATGTTGGCCAGTCTGGTCTCGAACTCCTGGCCTCAAGTGATCCGCCCGCCTCAGCCTCCCAAAGTGCTGGGAGTACAGGAGTGAGCCACCGCGCCTGGCCATCTTGATGTTTTAAATAATTTTTTAAATAAGAAGCTTGAATTTCCATTTTGTACTGGGTCCCATAAATTATGTAACTGGTCCTGCCTATACTAGAAGATAAAATCCAGATCAGAATGTGTATGTGTGTATGTATATTTCCTACAAGATCAGGATTTCCCTCCTCTCCTCTCCTCCCTTCCCCTCCCCTGCCCTCCCCCCCCCCCCCGCCGCCGTCTCCCCTCTCCTCTCCTCTCCTTTCCTCTCCTTTCCTCTTTTTTTGAGACAGAGTCTCACTGTTGCCCAGGCTGGAGTGCAGTGGCGTGATCATGGCTCACTGCAGCCTCCAACTCCCAGGCTCAATCAGTCTTCTGCCTCAGCCTCCCAAGTAGCTGGGACTACAGGCAAGTGCCACCACACTCGGCTAATGTTTCTATTTTTTGTAGAGACAGGGGTCTCACCATATTGCTTAGGCTGCTCTTAAACTCCTGGGTTCAAGTGATCCTCCCACCTTAGATGCCCAAAATGCTGGGATTACAGGTGTGAGCCACTGTGCTGATCATATTTCTTATCTTTATAAGAAACACAGTTTGGTGCTTTCCACATAATAGGCATTTAAGATATATTTGCTGAGTTTTCTTTTCCTAAGGTAGTGTGAAATGGCAGAGGGGGTGAGAATCAGAGTCCAGCTCTTATTATACTTATTAGCCTAGTGGTCTTGGAAAAATCCCATTATCATGTTGAATCTCAGTTTCCTCATCTATAACATGGGATGATAATATCTGCCTTACAGAACTGTTGTAAAATAGTGTGTAGAAAATAGCAATGTCTCAGTCTCTGGAACAAGAAGCAGCTCAAAGCAAGTTTTTCCCCTTTTAAAGAAAGTGAATTAATAGTGTCCTTAACTATTTAACCTGATAACAGTATTTCTAATTTTTCATATTATTTACTTCCTTAAAAGTTTTACTTTTTTTTTTTTTTGAGACAGAGTTTCACTCTTTCCCAGGCTGGAGTGCAGTGGCACAATCTTGGTTCACTGCAACCTCCGCCTCCCCGGGTTTAAGTGATTCTCCTGCCTCAGCCTCCCAAGTAGCTGGGATTACAAGCGTGCGCCACTACGCCTGGCTAATTTTTGTATTTTTGGTAGAGACAGGGTTTCACCATATTGGCCAGGCTGGTCTCAAACTCCTGACCTCAGGTGATCCGCCCACCTCAGCCTCCAGCCTCCCAAACTGTTGGGATTACAGGCATGAGCCACCGTGCCTGGCCAAAAGTTTTACTTTAAAGGAATAACATCTATGCTTCATTGGTTTCACTTTAAAAAGTCCATATGAGTAGCGGTCTTATTGCAAATCCAAAATTGGATTTTTAAAAGACCCAGATTTATAATTTTCCTAATTGACAGTTAATGATTATCAATGTAAACATTTAACTTCCAGTTTATCATGGTTATCAGTAACATTAATGTTCCTTAACATTAAACATTAGTATATTATTTCATTCACAAATTAACAATATTGAATTTGATCCTTTCACTTCCTTACTGGCTTTTCCCTCTGATGTGTGTGTGTGTGTATGCATGTATTATATAAATCTATGTATGTATATATAGTGTATGGTATATAAATACAGTTCTGTACCTTTGCAACACCCTGTGTGACTGGGTTGGGAAGTTGTAAAGAATAAGAAGACTGCTTATTAGATGCAAAAGAGAAAAAATACATGGCTTACATCTCTAGTTATTAGTTTGTAGACAGCTGCTTTAAAAAAAAAGAAAGCAAGAAAAAGAAAAAAATTACATCTTCAGTAGTTTCCTTCTATTTTCTTGGTCAAAGACTGCATTCCAAACTCAATGCAGTTATTTTATAAATTCTACCACTTAATCACACAGGAGACCAGGTAAGAGCATATTAGACCATTGCTATTATGAGAAAACACTCAGAACTCATACTCTCCTAGGGTAGTTTGTGTTCCTCTAAGATTTCTGTTTTGGGGAAACCATGCACTTATATATAAGAAAAATGAAGCAGCTTGGCATGTTTCTATTCTGTGTAATAACTGTAATAACTGCTTATTTGTCTCAAGATATATTTCAAATTCTGTCTATACTCAGTTTCAGCAGTTGTGGGCTTGACCACCAAACCTGCCTACACCACATTAAATAAATCTAACAGCCCTCTAATTTTGTCATTGCTAAGGTCTGTGATGTAAGGAACAGATTATACTTAAAATTTCCCCATCTCAAGTCTTAGCTGAGAAAAACCGTAAAAATGAAAATGGCATTACCAGAGCCATCATGTAAATGAGTGTTAAAAGCACAAAACTATTGGAAAAACCAACTTCATAAAATATACCCTATTATGAAATTTTCAAAAGAAATTTTAAATTAAGAAAATCTTCAAAAACCACATATACTTTCAGAATCTGGGCTGTCCCCAAATCAAACAGCTAATATGCCCAATATGCGCGAGTCAAGCATTTCTTGGGACTTTATTATTAGGATAGTATTTAGCTTCTGGTTCCAGTTATGGCCAAGTCCTGTGTATGAGTCACGTATCTCAGTAATAGTTATCAAATTCCAAGAGGTAGGTTTTAAAGACCCATTATAAAGATGAGAAAATTTCTTCTATTTTGTATTTATCTAAATCTTAGTCATTCTTCAAGACCCAGTGGTCCCTTCCTTCTCTGAATTTTCCAAATAATTGTTGTTTGTACCACTCCATTTGGTACTTATCATACATTGCCTTACTTAAGTTGCTTTTGTCTTCTTTCCATTCTGAGATCCTCAAAAACCGAAACTGTATCTTAAACTTCTTTGTACCTACTATACTGCCAGGCATTACAGATTAGAATCAAATGTAGGGGGAGGTCTTTCTAATCTTGGTTAGAGTCTCCAAATTAATCATAGTGGATTTACCTCTGGCAGTTATTTAGCCTTTGAAAGTTTCTCTTTATTAATCTTTATTCTTTTTTAAATTTCAAGACAGGGTGTTGCTCTGTCGGCCAGGAGTGCAGTGGCATGATCACAGCTAACTGCAGCCTCAAACTCCTCGGCTCAAGAAATCCTCCCACTTTAGCCTCCTGAGTAGCTGGACTACAGGCAGGCACTACTGTGCCCCACTAAATGTTTAAATTTTTTTTGTGGAGACAGGGGTCTCTCTATACTGCCCAGCCTGGTTTCAAACTCCTGGGCTTCAGTGATCCTCCTGCCTTGGCCTCCCAATATGTTGGGATTCGAGGCGTGAGCCACTATGCCTGGCCTTTTTATTAGTCTTTAAAATGCTCATAACAATGTTTATAATTTAGGCCTTTTAAAAGGATTTAAAATAGGTCACATGTCAAAATGGAAGTAATATAGAGTAGTGGTTAAGCGGACCAGCTCTGATGCCATACTCCACATGTCGAAATACAGGCTCTACTCATCCTGAGGAATTTACTTCGGGTACTTCAGTTTTCTCATTTGTAAAATGAGTACAATAATATAACCTATGTCATGGGTTATTGTGAGAATTAAATGAGTTCACAGTACAAATAGAATAGTGCTTACCACAGAGTAAGCACTCTATTAACTACTGGCTATCATCATCTAACGGATTATCAATATATGTTGCTTTCTGCTACTTCCTCTGGCACAATAATGCTTTGTGCAAACATAGTAAGAATTCAACAAATGTTTATTAAACTTTCACATTGCTTTGCTTATGACAGTTCTCAAAAATTGGTTGTGTTTGTCAGTAGTTTGCAATTTGAAGATATTTCTGCAATGGAAACAATGCTATAAAGTTTATACCATGAGTACGTTAACATGCTATTTGATTATTAGGGAAGCTCAAAAAAAGTCTATTTTAGGCCAAGTAATCCCAGCACTTTGGGAGGCCAAGCCAGGCAGATCACCTGAGGTCAGGAGTTTGAGACCAGCCTGGCCAACAAGGTGAAACCCCAACTCTACTAAAAATACAAAAAAATAGTCAGGTATGGTGGCGGGCACCTGTAATCCCAGCTACTTGGGAGGCTGAGGCAGGAGAATTGCTTGAACCCAGGAGGCAGAGGTTACAGTGAGCTGAGATTGTGCCACTGCACTCCAGCTTGGGTGACAATAGTGAAATTCCATCTTAAAAAAGAAAAGTTTTTTTGTTCCCTTAGTTTTTACAGCACCACATTCTCATGGTTTCCTCCTTTCTCTGACTGCTCCTTCTCAATTTCTCTTTGGCCTGTCCCTTCCTCTTCCTGTCCTTTAAGGGTTGCAGTCCCTCAGAATTTGATCCTGGAGTTTTTCCTTATATATTTCTGCTGGGCAATTTTATAGTCTTGCCCATGTTTTTACATGCTGTCTAATAGCCAATAACTCATAGATCCCTATCTGCAGTTCAGACTTCTCTGCTGAGCTCCAGATGCATAGAGCCAGTTGCCTCCTGGAAAGCTTTCCTTGATGACCTCCTTCAAGACTGCTCTTCCTCCAGGAATCCTCCTATCAATAAATGGCACCAGCTCCCTGAAACAGAAATCTGCCACTTCCCTCTACCTTATTCCACGTAGCAAATTCTTCAGCAAATCCTATTGATTCTGACTGACTCCAGAGTCAGTCAGTCAAATCTAACTACTTTTCTTTATTTTTATTGTCTGGCTGGTTTATTTATGTGCTTTCACTTTGTCCTTCCTCTCAACTAGTCTCTAAATAGCAGTGTTAATTAAAAAAAAAAAACAAAAACTTTTTCTTATGGCAAATTTTGAACATAAATAAATAGAAGAGTTTAATGAATCACCATGTCCTCATCATTCCATTTCAACATTTAACCTCAGTTTGCTAATCTTGTTTCATCCATCCTCTCTATTTTTCTGGTTGGAGTAGTTTAAAGAAAATCCAAGACATCATTTTGTTTTACTTATAAATAATTCAGTATGCATTCCCCACAGATAGAACATTTAAAAAATATAACCACGATGCCATTGTCACATGTAACAAAATTAAAAATGATTCCTTATTTGGGAGGCCAAGGCGGGTGGATCACTCGGTCAGGAGATCGAGACCATCCTGGCTAACATGGTGAAACCCCATCTCTACTAAAAATACAAAAAATCAGCAGGGCATGGTGGCGGGTGCCCGTAGTCCCGGCTACTTGGGAGGCTGAGGCAGGAGAATGGCGTGAACCCGGGAGGCGGAGCTTGCAGTGAGCAGAGATTGTGTCACTGCACTCCAGCCTGGGCGACAGTGCGAGACTCTATCTCAAAAAAAATAAATAAATAAAAATAAATAAATAAATACATACATACATACATAAAAATGATTCCTTAACACAATCTAATATCCAGGTCATATTTAAAATTTCCTGATTGTACCAAAGATAACTTTTTACTGCTTGTTTGTTTAATTCATAGTCCAAACAAATCCAAACATTACATTTAATTGTTGTGTCTCTTAAATATCTCTTATTTATTTTATTTTATTTTTTTAGAGTCGAGGTCTTGCTCTGTAGCCCAAGGCTGGAGGGCAGTGGACAGTCACAGCTCACCGCAGCCTCAAACTCCTAGCCTTAAGCAATTCTCCTGCCTCAACCTCCCAAAGTTCTGGGATTACAGGTGTGAGCCACTGAGCTCAGCCCTTAAATCTCTTTTAGTCTCTAACAGTCTCTCCTCCTTTTGTTGAGTGAATGGCCATTTGTATTTTTTTTGTGTGTGTGATGTGTCTTTCCTTATTTTTCAGCTTTTGTATAAATGACATCACTTCAGGTCAATACCTTCATAAGTACTCCGTAGCAAAAATGCTATGGCTTTTACATTACACATCTTTATCTATAATATAAATACAAGGCTGAGAAAGTAAGGACCCTCTTCTATACACACATATTTTTATTATGTGAAGAAAACATGGAAAGTGGATTGAAAATCCAGACAAGAAGTGCAGTTAATAATTAAGCAACTGCTACATAGTAGGAACTCATCTCATTTGATCCTTTCAAAAATCCTTTGAGTTGGGTATTTTTATTCCCATTTTCAGATTAGAAAACAGGTTGCTGGAGGCTAATTTAGAAATATGGGGCTGCAATGTCAGCCTGAGGCAGAAGCCCAGGTCCCCATTTCTAGGGATCTCATGGTCATTCCTTTCCATCTGGTTACAGTGCTGACTACAGCAGTGTAATGAAGAATATAATGGGGTAATGAAGGATGGTTTAAATAGGGAGAAAGCTACCAAAGGATAGTTCTGGTAGATGCTTTACCAAATCAAAAAGAAGAAAAAAGAGTCATACCCGGGTGTGTGTTGTGGGCAGACTATTTTGTCTGAAGGTGAATATATTTGAGAAAACAATTACTCAGTGGGGTTCTGATAAAAGTATAACAAAGTTTAATAGTGGCAGAGCAGCATTCTAAGGGCATGTATTTTTCAGTGCCCTGTGCTAGCTGATTCTGTCCATTTCTTTTTTCTTTTTAAAATTACATCCTGGCTGGGCACGACAATTTGGGAGGATGAGGTGGGAGTATCGCTCAAGCCCAGGAGTTTGAATGGTAACATAGTAAGTCCCACTTTCTATAAAAAATTAAATAAAAAAAATTAGGCCGGGCACGGTGGCTCACACCTGTAATCCCAGCACTTTGGGAGGCCGAGGCGGGCGGATCAACTGAGGTCGAGAGTTCAAGACCAGCCTGACCAACATGGAGAAACCCTGTCTCTACTAAAAATACAAAAATTAGCTGGGCACGGTGTCGCGCGCCTATAATCCCAGCTACTCGGGAGGCTGAGGCAGGAGAATCGCTTGAACCCGGGAGGCGGAGATTGTGGTGAGCCAAGATTGTGCCACTGCACTCCAGCCTGGGCAACAAGAGCAAAACTGCATCTCAAAAAAAAAAAAAAAAAAAAAAAAAAAAACTAGCAGGGTGCAGTGGCACACACCTATAGTCCCAGTTACCTGGGAGACTGACATGGAAGGATTGCCTGAGGCCTGAGACAGGGAGGTCAAGGCTGCAGTGAGCCATGATTATGCCTCTGGACTCCAGCCTGGGCAACAGAGCACGATTCTGTCTTAAAAAAAAAAAATTACATTCTTTTGCCTTTTTTAAGATTGACTTTAACATCACTGATGTGTTTGCACATTTCCTTCCTGCTTCATAGTAGAACTCAGAACCACAACTTTTTTTCTCTAGGATCCCTTTCCCCTTCTGTCTCTTATCTAAATTCTTCAGAGGTTGTCATGTCCTTAATGCTTGAAAAAGCATGTCAAAAACTCGTTAGCCAAGGGAGGAAAATTATGTTTAAAATATATTTGGTCTGAAAATTCTATCTGGTTCACCAGTCTGCCTCATGTACCTACATTTGCCCAAGCTGTGAACCACCCCAGCCTCTTCCGACTGTTATTCATGATACTGGCCTAAGATGACACATGAGAATCTCCCTAGATGTTCACACATTTATAAATGCTTCATAAATGGAGATGTCCACAAAAAACAAAAGGCAAAGAATAATTGGCCAATAGCAAAGAGAAGCAAGGTATTTAAAATACCTTAGTTTTTTTTTTTTTTTTTTGAGACAGAGTCTCACTCCATTGCCCAGGCTGGAGTGCAGTGGCACCATGTCGGCTCACTGCAACCTCCCTCTCCTGGGTTCAAGCAGTTGTCCTGCCTCAGCCTCCAGAGTATCTGGGATTACAGGCACCTACCACCATGCCCGGCGAATTTTTTTATATTTTTAGTAGAGACAGGTTTCACCATGCTGGCCAGGCTGGTCTCGAACTCCTGACCTCAGGTGATCCACCTGCCTCGGCCTCCCAAAGTGCTGGGATTACAGGCATCAGCCACCATGTCTGGCCTAAAATATCTTAGTTAGTGGGTATATACCCAAAACAACTGAATCCAACTGCAACAGATATTTGCCCTCCCATGCTTATAGCAGTACTATTCACTATAGTCAAAAGATGGAAACAACCCAAGTGCTGATAAAGAAATGAATGGATAAACAAAATGTGGTATGTATATAATGGAACACTGCAGATGCCAAAATCCATGGATGCTCAAGTCCCTTATATAAAATGGCATAGTATTTGCATATAACCTATGCACATCCTCTTGTATTCTTAAATCATCTCATCTAATAATACCATGTGAATGCTATGCAAATAGTTGTTATACTGTATTGTTTTAAAATTTTTTTTTAATTTCAAAAAAAACACTTTTAATCTGAGGTTAGTTGAATCTAAGGATGTGGAACTGGTGGATGTGGAGGGCCGGCTGTAGTAATTAGCCTTAAAAAGGAAGGACATTCTGACACATGCTACAACATGGATGAACCTTGAGGACATTATGCTAAGTGAAATAAGCCAGCCACAAACAGACAAATATTGTACGATTCCACTCATATGAGGTACCTAGAGTAGTAAAATTCATATAGACAGAAAGTAGAATGGTGGTCAGGGGCTGGGGTGAGGGGAGTTTGTGTTTAATGAGTGCAGAGTAAGTTTGGGAAGATTAAAAATTTCTGGAGATGAATAGTGGTGATGGTTGAAGAACAACATGAATGTATTTAATGCTGCAGAACTGTACATTTATTTTATTTTTTTGAGACTGAGTCTTGCTTTGTTACCCAGGCTGGAGTGCAGTGGCACAATCTCAGCTCACTGCAACCTCTACCTCCTGGGTTCAAGTGATTCTCATGCCTCAGCCTCCTGAGTAGCTGGGATTACAGGTGTGCACCATCGGCCCTCCTCAACCTCCCAAAGTTCTGGGATTACAGGCATGAGCCACTGTGCCCAACTGAGAACTGTACATTTAAAAATGATTCCATTGGTACATTTTATGTATATTTTGCTGCAATTTTTAAGGAATGTCTTGATTAAGAAAGAGCTTGGGCTTTTAGTCAGAAAGCCTGGGTTCAAATTCTGACTTCATAAATTATTAGCTGTGAGAACTCACACTATTTCCATATCTTAAGTTTGAGTTTCTTCACAGAAAAAAATGAGTCTAAAACTAGTATGGGCTTTATAGGCTTGTGAGGATTAAATGAAAGAATCCATTTAAAATCCTTTGCACACTGCCTTGTCCCTAGTCAGCATTCGATGAATGTTAGTTACTTTGATTTTATTATCATTTATTAATATCTAGACTCACTTTTAAAGGTTATATTGATAGATTTTCCCATGGATTTTTAGGAATTCAGTCCATACTTAGATTTCTTAATTCCATGGTTCCTGGCGGTGATTTTAGTATCTGCCAAAGGTAGCTCATCCAGAGACACTGATGAATAGTATGAAGTTCTGATGTGTTTGTGAGGTTTGATGGAAAGAACAAAGGTATTAGAATAATTATAAAAGTATTCTTTTATATTTGGGAAAGAAAATTTTCAGCTGCTTTCTCTCAACCATTGGAAAATAAATTGCAAGGAAAATAACAGTGATTTTTTAAATATTCTGAAACTTTAGATAATTTTTCAATTGTTGGGTAGTATTTGCTGTGTAATCCAATAGTTACAACTACAGGGAAATTTCCTGTAGCCTAGATCATACTTTCTGGAAAGCAGGTACTGAGTATCTGATGTCTTGTGTAATTACAGAACAATAATCATGAAGTATCTCAATTTTACACTCAGAAGTATGATCCTTTTGTGAGTAATTTTGTTGTGTGTTTGAGAAACAACAGAGAGAACTATGGAGCTGCTGCCTTTTGAAAAGGGGAAACTCAAATAATATAAGGGAGGCAGTGTGTCAAGCTTTTTACAAATGAAACCTCCAACCCTTCAAGGTTGCCATTATTATCAACACTATTTTAAAGGCAAAGAAAGAGGCTCAGAACTTGCCTGTGTGTGCAGAGAGCCAGAATTTTGAATATAGGTCGATTTGGCTTCAAAGCTCATGCTCCTTCTCTCAAAGCTATTTTGAATATAGGTTGATTTGGCTTCAAAGCCCATGCTCCTTCTCTCAAACAAGCCACTTGTTACTATCACAGGAGCTAGCTTCACTTTTGGAGCTGCTGCACGTTCTGAAATCACTTTGGAACTACTGCTGTCTCTGATGGAATGTAGTGGTGGCTCTTTCTTCTCTAGCCTGCGCTCTGCTAAGGGAAAGAAGCTGCTGCCTAGAGAAAATAAATCATAAGGGGCATAATGAGACCTCTATTGCCCAGAGATATTTCTTCTCTCTTATTTGACCCGAAATCACCACTATTAAAGCCATTCTTGGTTTACAAAACAAAAGTGCCACTGTCTTCAGAAATCCTCTGTTACAGTATACATATGTTACCTGAGAGTAAGAAGGAGAGACTGAGAGTTTCTTCTAGTTCTCTCATTAGCAGTTTAGTTTGTCAGTTAAACCAGTTGTCTCCTGAAAGGCCTAGATAGACTATCCCAGGCAAGACACACTTGACAAGTGAGTGTCACTAGTGCTCAGTGCCCTAGGGCTCAGAGAGGTCAGCAGGTCTGGCCGGAGGTCCTGAAACCTGAGCAGTGACGGGGCAGATTGTGGACCCTGAAATGATAGAGAATAAGCCTCAACTATGGCTGCTTATAGTAGTGACCGTTGGTTGGTTGCAAGCAGCAACCAACCTGACCTACCTTAAACAGAATGGGAATGTATTAGAAAAATGCAGCGGTATCTCAGGAAATGATGGAATTATTGAATGGCCAGGCCTCAGGAAGGATGGAACTAAGGAAAGTCCTGGGACTGCAGTGGCAGTTGATGGAGGCCCCAGCCTATGACCATCCAATGATCCGACTTGATTTCCAATCCCAGTGTTTCTCAAACCTCAAGTAAGAATGAGAATATGATATGTTCAGCTTAGATTATTGTTCACTCTTGGCTTACTCAGCAATGGCTGTGTTTTGGGGAGGGGCAGGGTTAGGTCCCATGGGAAGTTCACACAAAAGAAACAGGAACCTTCCTTGTGGGCAAACTAGGCAGTTTCGGAGAAGAGGGGCTGGGGTGACACTACGGGACACCCGCCACATACCTTCACAGAAACAGATCTTCTCTGGGGAGTTATTTTGTAGGGGAAATTGCTTTGGCATAGTCTAGCATAGTGGTTAAGAGTATGCATACTTTAGAGCTAGATTGCCTGAGTTCAAATACCAGCTCTGCTAATTCCTGGGCAATCTACTGAAGTATTTTGTGTATCTGTTTGCATACCTCTAGAGTAGTGATAATAATAGTACCTACTACCTGAGAGCATTAGAACTAAATGAATTATGCCGGGTGCAGTGGCCCATGCCTGTAATCCTAGTACTTTGGGAGGCGGAGGTGGTTGGATCACGAAGTAGGAGTTTGAGACCAGCCTGGCCAGCATGGTGAAACCCTGTCTCTACTAAAAATACAAAAATTAGCTGGGCATGGTGGCATGCACCTGTAATCCCAGCTACTCGGGAAGTTGAGGCAGGAAATCACTTGAACTTAGGAGGCGGAGGTTGCAGTGAGCTGAGATCGCACCACTGCACTCCAGCCTGGACAACAGAGCCTGACGCCATCTCAAAAAAAAAAAAAAAAAAAAAAAAAAGAACGAAATGAATTAATACCAGCAAAGAGTTTAAAACAGTGCCTGAAAAACAGTATGCCCTTGATAAATAGCTATTATTATCTTGGCCTATGGGGCAACATAATATTTACTGAAACCATTAAATGGGTCCACCTCACTTAAAAAATACCCAGTGAGGCTCTTTTTACAAGTAATTTTATGAAAGAGGGGAACAATCAGATAAACATTTTGTTTTGAAATGTGGATTTAGTTTAACTTAGGCATAAATATAGATGCAAGAAATAAAAAAATGAGGATATAAAACTATTAAGAAAAAACATAAAGCAAAAAAAGAAAAAGAACAAGAACAAAAAGGGTTACAACACCAAAAGCAAAATTTATAAAAGAAAAGCTGATAAATGTGAATTCATCAAAATTAAAAACCTTTGCTCTTCAAAAGGTACAATTAAGAGAATAAAAAAACAAGGCCAGGGGCTGTGGTTCATGCCTGTAATCCCAGCACTTTGGGAGGCTGAAGCAGGCAGATCACTTGTGGTGAAACCCTATCTCTATTTAAAAAAAAAAAATACAAAAATTAGCTGGATGTGGTGGTGTGGACCTGTGATACCAGCCACTCGGGAGGCTGGGGCAGGAGAATCACTTGAACCCGGGAGGCAGAGGTTGCAGTGAGCTGAGATAGCGTCATTGCACTCCAGCCTAGGCACCAGAGTGAGACTCCATCTCAACAACAGAAGGAAAAGATGGCCAGGCATGGTGGCTCACACCTGTAATCCCAGCACTTTGGAAGGCTGAGGTGGATGGGTCACTCAAGGCCAGGAATTCGAGACCAGCTTGACCAACATGGCGAAACCTTGTCTCTACCAAAAATACAAAAAATTACCCAGGTGTGGTGGTAATCCTAACTACCTAGGAGGCTGAGACACAAGAATTGCTTGAAGCTGGGAGGAAGAGGTTGCAGTGAGCCGAGATTGAGCCACTGCACTCCAGCCTGGGGGACAGAGCAAGATTCTGTCTTAAAAAAACAAAACAAACAAAAAACGAACAACAATAACAAAAAACAAAACAAGCTACAGACTAAAAGAAGATATTTGCAAATCATATATCTGATGAAACACTTGTATCAAGAGTAAAAAATACCACTTATAACTAATAAGAAGACAAATTACCCTATTAACAAAAGGGCAGAAGATTTGACAGATATTTCACACAAAAAAGCTATATGAATGGCTAATGAACATATGAAAAGATCCTCAACATCTTTGGTTTGGGAAATGCAAATTAAAAGTCATAATGAAATACCACTGTTCGACTGACTATAGCAATATAGGAGATGTGGAGAAACTGGAATGCATGTGTATGGAGGAACTGGAATGCACATTACCACAAGAATGTGAAAAGGTGCAGCCACTTTGGCAATATCTTAAAAAGTTAAACATAAATTTAGCATGTGACCCAGCAATTTATTTCCTACAGGTCTACCTGAGAAAATAAAGAAATGTATATATACTCATGCTAAGACTTGTATAAAAATGTTTATAAAAGCATTATTTAAAATAGCTAAAAGGCCGGGCACGGTGGCTCATGGCTGTAATCCCAGCACTTTGAGAGGCCGAGGCGGGCTGATCACCTGAGGTCAGGAGTTCGAGACCAGCCTGGCCAACATGGTGAAATCCTGTCTCTACTAAAAATACAAAAATTAGCCAGGCAAGGTGGCAGGCATCTGTAATCCCAGCTATTTGGGAGGCTGAGGCAGGAGAATTGCTTGAACCCAGGAGGCAGAGGTTGCATTGAGCCAAGATCGTGCCATTGCACTCCAGCCTGGGCAACAAGAGAAAACTCCGTCTTAAAAACAACAACAACAAAAAAAAAGCTGTTTATATATGTATATACACACATCTATATATATATGTATATACACACATCTATATATATACACACACATCTATATACATATGTATATATACACACACATCAGTAGTTTGTTCACACAGGTGAACTTCAAAAACAGTATGAGAAACAAAAGGAGACAGACACAAAAGACTATATCTTGCATGATTCTATTTATGTGAAATTTCTAGAAAATTTAAATCCACAGAGACAAAAAGCAGAATAGTAATTCCCTGGGGCTTAGGATGAGACTGGGAATTGACTGCAAATGTGTGCAAGAGAAATTTTGGGGGTAATAGAAATGTTTGAAAATTGGATTGTAGTGGTGGTTGCACAACTGCATAAACTTACTAAAATCACTGAGGTGTACACTTAACAGGTGAATTTTATGGTATGTAAATTATACCTCAAGAAAGCTGCTTCTGTCCTATATTTCAGTCTGACATACCAGTAAAAACTATAGCTAAAAACACTTATGAAAGAACTCTTTTAGTTCAACACTATTTGCTGAAACTTTGTTTTTGCTTCAAAATGTTTTATACCCAGTTCCACCCCATCTCCCATCTCACTTATCCATCCTAGAGTACTAACTTTATCAGGGTTGCTAAATCATGTATAGACAATGGAGTCTAACGTGATTTCATAATGAGACTTTAGGTTCCAGTGTTTACTGATATTTAAAAAAAATGCATCTGGAAAAGCCACAGGCACCCAGTGCCAACCTATGAGAGCAGCTGCGGGGGCTGAACCCTGTGGTTCAACCCCTCATCTCTACCCTGAGACTTTAGGTTGAGATTCTTTATGAACTGTGTTTGTATAGGTCTAGCTATTCCCTTTCTATTTGATACTGGGCAGATCCAAATTTTACTGAAATGTGAGAAACCATTCTCCAAGGAAAATTCACCAGTGCTGATTTCTAGAGCTGCCAGCTAATACCCAGGAATTTATTTTCTCTGTCTTCAAAGTGCCATACTACCCTAACCCTGACAGGAAGAAAACAACTTTCAGGTTGAGCGCCACATCAAAAAGGCTTCTCCTGTTACTAAAAAAAAAAATTTCATTCACTTGATAGTTACTTCCTGTGTCAAACTATCAGATGTTCCCCTTGAATGCAGCCATCTGGAGGTTTGTTGTTTGTTTTACGCCAACATGTTAACATAAGGCACGTGGAGGGAACAACATCCATTTGTTTACGTATCTAGCTATCCAGCTATGCATCTATCATCTACACATTCAACAATGGTTTCTTGAGTACCTGCTATGTACTATGAGACTTCGAAGCCTCAACTCTTGCATTCGTGCAATACACATACATGACCAAATCTCATGTCAAATTGTAATCCCAACTCTTGCATTCTTGCATATACTATACATATCCAAATTAAGGATGCAACAGTGAGTAAGAATGACATGGTTTCCACTCTCACAGAAATTAGTCTTTTTTTTAGATAATACAGGTCAGTAGTGAAGACACATTTTTCTACTTTCCAAGTTTTCTTGTGCTGGCCTTGGCTCCTCTAGTGGCTATACGGGTGACATCTCAGGTGACATGGTGATTAGTTTGCTCTCACATTGCTATAAAGGAAATACCTGAGACTGGGGAATCCATAAAGAAAAGAGGTTTAATTGGCTCATGGTTCCACAGGCTGTACAGGAAGCATGGCAGCATCTGCTTCTGGGGAAGCCTCAAGAAACTTACAATCATGGCAGAAGGCAAAGTGGGAGCAGGCATCTTACATGATAAGAGCAGCAACAAGAGAGAGAGAGAGAGAAAGAGAGGAGGTGCCCCAAACTTGTAAACAGCCAGATCTCATGAGAACTCTATCATGAGAACAGCACCAAAAGTATGGTGCTAAACCATTCAGGAAGGACCATCTCCATGGTCCAGCCACCTCCCACCAGGCTCCACCTCCAACACTGGGGATTACAATTTGACATGAGACTTGCCTGTGGATATGGATGCAGAGTCAAACCATATCATTCCACCCCTGGCCATTCCCAAATCTCATGTCCTTCTCATATTGCAAAATATAATCATGCCTTCCCAACAGTCCCCTAATTTTAACTCATTTCAGCATTAACTCAAAAGTCCAAAGTTTCATCTGAGACAAGGCAAGTCCCTTCTGCCTATGAAACTGTAAAATAAAAAACAAGTTAGTTACCTTCAAGATACAATGCAGATATAGGTATTGGGTAAATACTCCCATTCCAAAAGGGATAAATCAGTCAAAAGAAAGGGGCTACAGGCACCAGGCAAGCCCAAAACGCAACAGGGCAGTCATTAAATCTTAAAGCTCCAAAATAATCTCTTTTGACTCCATGTCTCACATGAAGAGCACAGTGGTACAAGGGGTGGGCTGCTAAAGCCTTGACAGCTATGCCCAAGGCTTTGTGCCCTACTCCTCAGTACCACTTTTCTATATTAGTCCATTTTCACGTTTTTATAAAGTAATACCTGAGCCAGTGGCTCATGCCTGTGATGCCAGTACTTTGAGAGGCCGAGGTGGGTGGATCACCCAAGGTCAGGACTTCGAGACCAGCCTGGCCAACATGGTGAAGACCCGTCTCTACTTAAAATAGAAAGTTCAGCCCCCATGGCTGCACTCACGAGTTGGCATTGGGTGCCTTGTTTTTCCAGGTGCACAGTGCAAGCTGCTGGTGGATCCACCATTCTGTGGTCTGGAGGATGGCAGTCCACTTCTCACAGCTCCGTGAGGCAGTGCCCCAATGGGAACTCTGTGTGTGAGGTCCAACACCACATTTTCCCTCCACACTTCCCTAGCAGAGGTTCTCTATGAGGGGTCCACCCCTGCAGCAAGCTTCTGCCTGGACATGCAGGCTTTTCCATACATCCTCTGGAATCTAGGCAGAGGCTCCCAAGCCTCAACTCTTGCATTCTGTATACCTGCAGGCTTAACACCATGTGGAATCCACCAAGACTTACGGCTTGCACCCTCTGAAGCAGCAGTGTGAGCTTAACCTGGTTCCCTGTTAGCCACTGTGGGAGCCGGAGCAGCCAGGATGCAGGAAGCAGTGTCCCGAGGCTGTGAGGCTGCTCAGGGCAGCAGGGCACTGGACCTGGCCCATGGAAACCATTCTTCCTTCCTAGGCCTCTGGGACTGTGATGGGAGGGGCTACAGTGAAGGTCTCTCTCGCTCTGTTACCCAGGCTGGAGTGCAGTGGCACAATCCCAGCTCACTGCAACCTCCGTCTCCCAGGTTCAAGCAATTCTCTTGCCTCAGCCTCCTAAGTAGCTTGGGACTACAGGCATGTGCCACCACACCCAGCTAATTTTTTGTATTTTTAGTAGAGACGGGGTTTCACCATGCTGGCCAGACCGGTCTCAAACTCCTGACCATGTGATCTGCCCACCTCAGCCTCCCAAAGTGCTGGGATTACAGGTGTGAGTCACTGTGCCCGGCCTTGGCTTCTTTTTACTTATGTAAATTTCTGCAGCTGGCTTGAATTCTTCCCCTGAAAATGGGCTTTTCTTTTCTACCACATGGCTCAGAGGCAAATTTTTCAAACTTTTATGCTCTGCCTTGCTTTGAAATGTAACTTTGAGTTTATGTCATTTCTTTGCTTATGCACATGAGCATAGGTTGTTAGAAGCAGCCAGGCCATATCTTGAACACTTTGCTTCTTAGGAATTTCTTCTGTCTGATACTCTAAGTCATCACTCTCAAGTTCAATGTTCCACAGATCCCTAGACGGGGGCACAATCCAACCAAGCTCTTTGCCACGGTGTAACAAAAGTGACCTTTGCCCCAGTTCCCAATAAGTTCCTCATCTCCATCTGAGAACTCATGAACTCATCAGCTTGGCCATCTCTGTTCATATCACCATCAGCATTTTGGTCACAATCATTCAACAAGTCTCTAGTAAGTTCCAAACTTTCCCTCACCTCCCTGTCTTCTTCTGAGCCCTCCACACTCTTCCAACCTCTTCCCATTACCCAGTCCCAAAGCCATTTCCACATTTTTAGTTATCTTTATAGCAATGCCCTACTCCTCAGTACCACTTTTCTGTATTAGTCCATTCTCACATTGCTATAAGGAAATCCTTGAGCTGGGCCAGGCATGGTGGCTCACGCCTGTAATCCCAGCACTTTGGGAGGCTGAGGCGGGTGGATCATGAGGTCAAGAGATCGAGACCATCCTGGTCAACATGGTGAAACCCCATCTTTACTAAAAATACAAAAATTAGCTGGACATGGTGGCATGCACCTGTAGTCCTAACTACCTGGGAGGCTGAGGCAGGAGAATCACTTGAACCCGGGAGGTGGAGGCTCCAGTGAGTTGAGATGGCACCACTGCACTCCAGCCTGGTAACAAAGTGAGGCTTTAAAAAAAAAATACTTGAGCTGGGCACAGTGGCTCATGCCTGTAATCCCAGCACTTTGAGAGGCTAAGGTGGGTGGATCACCTGAGGTCAAGAGTTCAAGACCAGCCTGGCCAACATGGCAAAACCCCGTCTCTACTAAAAATACAAAAATTAGCTGGGCATGATGGTGCATGCCTGTAATCCTAGCTACTTGGGAGGTTGAGGTAGGAGAATCACTTGAACCTGGGAGGCAGATGTTGGAGTGAGCCATGATCACACCATTGCACTCCAGCCTGGATGACAAGAGTGAAACTATGCCTAAAAAAAAAAGAAAAAAAAAAAAAGCCGGGTGTGGTGGCTCACGCCTGTAATCCCAGCACTTTGGGAGGCCAAGGTGGGTGGATCACCTGAGGTCAGGACTTCAAGACTAGCCTGGCCAACATGGTAAAACCCCATCTCTACTAAAAATACAAAAATTAGCTGGGTGTGGTGGCAGGCACCTGTAATCCTAGCTACTTGGGAGACTGAGGCAGGAGAATCACTTGAACCTGGGAGGGGTAGGTTGCAGTGAGCTGAGATTGCGCCACTGCATTCCAGCCTGGGGGACAAGAGTGAGACTCCGTCTCAAAAAAAAAAAAAAAAAAGAAAAAAAAAAGAAATACCTGAGACTGGTTAATTTGTAATGAAAAGAGGTTTAATTGGCTCATGGTCCCACAGGCTATACAGGAAGCAATGAAGCATCTCCTTCTGGGGAGGCCTCAAGAAACTTACAATCATGGTGCCAGAGGGCAAAGTGGGAGCAGGCATCTTACATGGCAGGTGCAGGACCAAGAGCGAGAGAGGGGAGGTGCCACACACTTTTAAACAGCCAGATCTCACGAGAACTCTATCATGAGAACAGCACCAAAGGGATGGTGCTAACCATTCAAGAAGGACCATCTCAGTGATCCAATCACCTCCCACCAGGCTCCATCTCCAACACTGGGGATTAAAATTTGACATGAAATGTGGGCAGGGACACAGATCCAAACTATAGCACATGGTGACTGTGGTAGCTCTGACAGTGGAGGCAGGGAGCTCCCCTGTGCTGGTAATGTGGTTTTAATACACTGACAGTGGTTACTTAGTCAAGCTCTAGAGAACAGTCTTGGAAGCAGCTTCCTCTTTAACGACAAGGACAAAATTCTCAGCAGTGGCCACAAGAACATTGGCAATAGTAGCTGTTCTGCCATTTTCAGTGGTCTCTCCAGCACCACTGCAAACTAAATAGAAAACAAATGCAAATTTTATGTCTTTTTATGAAAATGTAGCTCCTGGTCTTGCTTGGAAACACATCAGTTCTGTAAAATAGAGCACTTTTTTATACCCTAATTTTCTCAAGAAATGATGTCATTTGTTTCTCAAATATTTAATATTTCTGTAACTACATGGTAAATCAAGATTGCTTTTCAATTCTTTGTGGTTTTTTTTTTGTTTGTTTGTTTTTTTTTTTTTTTTTTTTTTTTTTTTTTGAGACGGAGTCTCACTGTTTCCCAGGCTGGAGTGCAGTGGTGTGATCTCGGCTCACTGCAAGCTCCGCCTTCTGGTTCACGCCATTCTCCTGCCTCATCCTCCCGAGTAGCTGGGACTACAGGCGCCCCCCACCACGCCCAGCTAATTTTTTGTATTTTTTAGTAGAGACGGGGTTTCACCGTGTTAGCCAGGATGGTCTCAATCTCCTGACCTTGTGATCCACCCGCCTCCGCCTCCCAAAGTGCTGGGATTACAGGCATGAGCCACTGCACCCAGCTGCTTTTCAATTCTTCTGGTATTTTCAGCTTGGTGGTATGTAGTAGCTAGGTGATGACATTAGATAACATTGTTTTTAGAAAGGGAAATTTAAAATAATGTGTCTAGTTGGGACTCTACAGAGAAAAGAAGACAGTAAGTAATTAGCCAATTTATAACTAGGAACAAAAGATATAGCTCCAACCTTTACTTTTGAACAAAACAATGAAATAATATAAAAATAGAACAGTACTTTTTAGGTAATATAAGTGAGTTGAAACCTCGGCCAGGCATGGTGGCTCACTCCTGTAATCCCAGCACTTTGGGAGGCCGAGGTGGGTGGATCACCTGAGGTCAGGAGTTCGAGACCAGCCTGACCAACATGATGCAACCCCATCTCTACTGAAAATAAAAAAAAATTAGCTTGGCGTGGTGGTGCATGCCTGTAATCCCAGCTACTCAGGAGGCTGAGGCAGGAGAATCGTTTGAACCCGGGAGGCAGAGGTTGCAGTGAGCCAAGACCTCACCATTGCACTCTAGCCTGGGCAATAAGAGCAAAAGACTCCATCTCAAAAAACAGCAACAATGAAAAACCCTCATAAGAACATTGTATACGCTGTATAGCGTTTTTGGCCTTAACTATCTCTGCACATGGTAGAGTTTAAAGCTTCTTAAATTACACAATTTGCAGAATGCCACATAGTCTGACTTCCTTTACTGCATCGGTCATAGGGGACTGCTATGGTAGATCCTTTTCTTCTGCCTGTCTGGGAGATTCCTACCATTGCAAGCACTTCCTATGAGGTCAGAAATGACAAATGTATAGCAGACATGTCTATGCCCAGAGGACCACCACTCATCCATTCCAGCACTCTTTTTTTTTTCTTTTGAGACAGAGTTTCGCTCTTGTCATCCATGCTGGAGTACAGTGGCGTGACCTCTGCTCACTGCAACCTCCGCCTCCCAGGTTTAAGCAATTCTCCTGCCTCAGCCTCCCAAGTAGCTGGGATTACAGGCACCTGCCACCATGCCAGCTAATTTTTGTATTTTTAGTAAGGATGGGATTTCACCATGTTGGCCAGGCTGGTCTGGAACTCCTGACGTCAGGTGATCCAGCCGCCTCAGCCACCCAAAGTGCTGGGATTACAGGCATGGGCCACGGCTCCTGGCCCCAGCAATCTTTACCACTGAGCCCATGCATGGCCTCAGAATCCTTATCAGCTCACCATTCTAGGGCCCACTACCAATCGGTTGGAATTAACAGGAGATGAACTGTATTTGGTATTTTTGGATTAGGGAATTAAAACAGGGGCATTAGCTCTAAAGCCTATAGGGAAGTGAGGCTGTAATCCCAGCACTTAGGGAGGCTAAGGTGGGAGGATTGCTAGAGCCTGGGAGTTCAAAACCAGCCTGGGCAAGAGAGAGAACCCATTTCTACAAAAAATAAAAATTTAGCCAGGCATGTTGATGTGTCCTTGTAGTCCCAGCCAGTTGGAAGGCTGAGGCCATAGGATCACTTGAGCCCAAGAGGTTGAGGCTGCAGTGAGCTGTGATTGTGCCACTGCACTCCAGCCTGGGTGGCAAAGAAAGACCCTGTCTCAAATGAATAAATAAATAAAGTGAAATGAATGTATGTTACCTAGCAAAGAAGAAATTGACTTGCCAAGAATAAGACCTTTTTTGTTTTAATTTTTAATATCAGCTTAATATCTGGGCCTGAAGAATCAGGAGAGAGAGTTTGAGCATGAGGAAGCTAAGAATGGTAATGACCAGGTCTGCAGTTTGAGGAGCAGGACCAGGGAGGCAGCACAGAGAAGAGTAGATGAGAGAAAAAGCCAAATTTGGCTTGTTTTGCAATTCCCTGGGATCATGTTACTCCAGCTTGGTCTCTTTCCTAGTGCGGGCTACTAACAGTGACTCACCTGCCAGTTCCTGCATTACCTGGACTTTTTGGAAGTCTTCCACCAAATACTGGTTAGAGCAGCCCAGCCCCATCCACCTTGTGACAACTGACATCATGCTCGAAGCAAATCTGAGTAAATAGTAAATCCCTGTGCTGATCATTTCTAGTGAAAACGGAAAAAAAGCTTTTCTTTTCTTTCTTTTTTTTTTTTTTTGAGACGGAGGCTCGCTCTTTTGCCCAGGCTGGAGTGCAGTGGAGCGATCTTGGCTCACTGCAAGCTCCGCCTCCCGGGTTCACGCCATTCTCCTGCCTCAGCCTCCCGAGTAGGTGGGACTACAGGCGCCCGCACGGAGCCTGGCTAATTTTTTGTATTTTTTGTATTTTTTTTTTTTTTTTTTTTTTTAGTAGAGACGGGGTTTCACCGTGTTAGCCAGGATGGTCGCGATCTCCTGACCTCGTGATCCCCCCGCCTCGGCCTCCCAAAGTGCTGGGATTACAGGTGTGAGCCACCGCTCCTGGCAAGGAAATAAAGCTCTTAGTGACCTCGGAGACTATGAGATTTGTGGCTTTACAATGAATGGCCTGAGGTCACATGTGTAGCCAGCCAAATCTAGGAACTTCCACTTAAGGTTATCTGATAAAGTCACTTAATGGTGGGGATAATTTTATTGGCCCATTTAATGAAATGACAAAGACCATAATACAGCATTGCAAATTGCCACTTTCTCCTTTACTACCTGTGTGACCTTGGACAAGTCTTGCTATTTTTCTATTTCCTTATCTGTAAGGTAGTGTAATTCCTTTTTTTTTTTAAAAAAAGAAAAATGACAGCAAAATTTATTGAATGTATACTGTGCGGAAGACATTGAAGGTTGGTCCTGGGGAGTAATCAAGGATGGAATAAGGATAGACAGCACCTTGGAGGACCTTATCACACAGAATAGAGACAAGGAGAACAATAAGAACAACACAAAAGGGCTGGGCGTGGTGGCTCACGTCTGTAATCTCAGCACTTTGGGAGGCTGAGGTAGGTGGGTCACCCACCTCACCCACCTTTTTGTTTATGTTAATGGAAAAATAAAAGGCTTCCATATACTTTACTCTCTTGTGCATTATTTATGGAAGAAAAAAACACAGTGAGCAGGTAAATAGTTTGAAATTGATATATATAAGGATGTAGTATATGCTTTAGTATTGTTAACAGCTCAACCACAACACATTACCAATGGGAAAGGCAAAACTTGCTCCTATATAAGCCAGAAGCTTTGGAGCTAGTTATGGTACAAAACCCAAGTTTGCCATCTTCAAATCACACTCTGTTCATTAGAACAAAGATGCCAATGTGCAACCTTAACGTTCTGTTACTTTCGAAAACATTTACTCTTCTTTTGACTCTGAGCTGAAAGAAGCACAGAAGAGTTTTATAGCAACAAGCTAAAAATAAACTAATCTTCTGTAGTCCTCCCCCTTTTAGCAGTAGGAGTCTAACCCAATTAACAAAGTGATTTAAATGAAAATAAAATTGTGATCAGTTTTGGTTACTTTCTCCTCCTCCCTGCTGTTGAATCCCACTGTAATTAGCATTTTAATTTTTTAGTATCTAACTTTAGTCAAGAAGATGAAATTGAGAATGTATCCTGTGTAATTTTTGAGAATTTTTATTTTGTTCTCTACTAATACACTCTCCAGTCTGATGAACTTCCATATTTCCACAATTTTATACATACTTTTTCTCTAGAACATGAGGAATAACTCCAAGAGAAAGGACCAATTAGCAAGGAATTCACTATCTACATCTCTTCTTTTTAAAAAATTATTATTTGTGTTTTTTTTGTTTGAGATGAGTCTCCGTCACCCAGGCTGGAGTGCAGTGGTGTGGTCTCGGCTCACTGCAACCTCTGCCTCCCGGGTTCAAATGATTCACCCACCTTATCCTCCCAAGTAGCTGGGACTACAGGTGTGTGCCACCACACCCAGCTAACTTTTGTATTTTTAGTACAGATGGGATTTTGCCATGTTGTCTAGGCTGGTCTCAAACTCCTGACCTCAAGTGATCTGCCTGCCTCAGCCTCCCAAAGTGCTGGGATTATAGGCATGAGCCATCGTGCCTGGCCTGCATCTTTTCTTATTTGCCTCAAACATAGAGCAAATTACCATACTTGAAATATATATGTTTAGCCTCAATTCGTCTTGGATATACTGATGACAAAGTCAAATAGAAATGGAAAGAAATTATGTGGCTGATATTTTATTTGCATTGTTTTCCTAAATTAATTATTTTATTTTTGAGACAGGTCCTGCTCTGTCACTTGGGCTGGAGTGCAGTGGTGTGATCATGGCTCACGGCAGTCTCAACCTCCCAGGCTCAAGCAATCTTCCCACCTCAGCCTCCTGAGAAGCTGAGACTATAGGCTTGTGCTATCAGCTAAGAGTATAGGTGTGTACATCCAGCTAATCTTTTAATTAAAACATTTTTTTAAATTTTATTTTATTTTTTTGATACAACACTTGAACAAACTTGACCAGCTAATTTTTGATTTTTTTTTTTTTTTGTAGAGATAGAGGTCTTCCTATGTTGCCCAGGCTGGTCACAAACTCCTGGGCTCAAGGGATCCTCCTACCTAGGCCTCCTAAAGTGCTGGGATTACAGGCCTGAGCCACTGTGACTGGCCTAATTAAGAATCTTAAATGCACAATGTAGCCTAATTGTGGTTGTATCATCATTTATATTGAATTAAAAGAATAATTTTTCCTGAAGCACATAGAAACTTAAATAGCAGGGCTGAGCCAAAGCCGAGAACCAGTGATTTCTGACTAGAAGGAGCACCCTTTGCCCTACTACTTGCGCCATCACATATTAATAACATTGCTTGTCCAGTGTTCCGCATCCACAAGCCTGCAGACTTCCTCCCCAATTCCTACTGAAGCAATGCGTTTTATTTCCATAAGACAACTTACTTTCCCTTCTCATTTGCAGGAATAGATTGGTTTGTTCTTTCATCCTCAGAGCTACAGAATATTGACATGAATTTTAATATATATAATAAATAGATGAACACTGTGTTCTTGTCTCAGTAAGGTGTTTCATTTCTTTTTATCTTTAAAGTATTTAATAGACATCTCTAAGACAGATATTCTCCTTATTGTCTTGGATATATATGGCTAGATCCTTTTGCCTTAGCTTGAAGCTTTTTTCCTTCTTCCTCTCCTTTTCAAGTCCTTCTCTTCTCTACCTCTCTACCCTCTCTCTCCCTCCTCACTTCCTTTCCTTTTCCTCCCTTCCCTTTCCTATCTTTCTTTTTTTCCCCCTTTGTGGGATTAATATCACTTGACATAAATCAAGTAACAAAAAAATTAGAAATCTTGGACGGATGCGATGGCTCACGCCTGTAATCCCAGCACTTTGGGAGGCCAAGCTGGGTGGATCACTTGAGGTCAGGGGTTTGAGACCCGCTTGGCCCACATGGCGAACCCTGTCTCCACTAAAAATACAAAAAATTAGCCAAGTGTGGTGGCACATGTCTGTAATACCAGCTACTTGGGAGGCTGAGGCAGGAGAATCACTTGAATGTGGGAGGTGGAGTCTGCAGTGAGCTGAGATCGAGCACCGCACTCCAGCCTGGGTAACAGAGCGAGACTCTGTCTCAATAAAAAGAAAAAAATTAGAAATCTAATAAGGGTCTCAGATGCCTAAATATTTTCCCCTAAAAATGTGACTAACCCTGATGGCTTTCAAGCTCAAGAATTCATTTCAAACTAAATTATTTAATTATTTGGTATAAAAGACAAAGGCAACAGCAAGAGTTTATTTACCAAATGTCAGAAGAACAAATCAGTGGGTGAGATGCTCTCTCTGTCTGTCTCTCTCATATACACACACACTCACACACACACTCATAGCCCACTTGATAAATTGTTGGCAATTTTGTGGTGAATACTCTAGGGCATGCTATTTAAAACAGACCTTATTTAAAGCTTTTTTACTTGAAGTGGGTCATTCTATACTTTCTAACATTCGGATACAATATTCCCTACAAAATGTATATAACTTTTAAGGTTGGAAATCAAGTTCACCTCAGTAAACAATGTGTTAACCAGTTTCTTATTGCAAATCTCTTAAAACATTTATAAAAGTGAAGGAAATAAATTTTTATTGAAGTTTGCTTCTGTGTCAGATGCCATTCTTTGAGTTTAGGTCCTGAAGATAGACTGCCTAGGTGGAAATCTGGGCCCTGCCACTCTCTACCCGCATGACCTGGGCAAGTGACTTAATTATGCTGTGTCTTAGTTTTGTCATCTGTTTGTAAAAAATGGGACCAATAACTCAGTTTATATGTAGAATATATGACTCAGCTTATATAAACTAAGACTCAGTTTATATGTAGTTGTGAGGATTTATTAGATAATACAATAAAATATTTGGCACACTACCTGATTTCTTTTTTTGTTGTTGTTTTTTGAGACAGAGTTTTGCTCTTTTTTTTTTTTTTGAGACAGAGTCTCGCTCTGTCACCCAGGCTGGAGTGCAGTGGTGAGATATCTCGGCTCACTGCAAGCTCTGCCTCCCGGGTTCATGCCATTCTGCCTCAGCCTCCTGAGTAGCTGGGACTACAGGTGCCTGCCATTGCGCCCGGCTAATTTTTTTTTTGTACTTTTAGTAGAGACGGGGTTTCACCGTGTTAGCCAGGATAGTCTCGATCTCCTGACCTTGTGATCCACCCGCCTCGGCCTCCCAAAGTGCTGGGATTACAGGCGTGAGCCAACGCGCCTGGCCGAGTTTCGCTCTTGTTGCCCCGGCTGGAGTGCAATTGCACTATCTTGGCTCACCGCAACCTCTGCCTCCTGGGTTCAAGTGATTCTCCTGCCTCAGCCTCCCGAGTAGCTGGGATTACAGGCATGCGCCACCACACCCGGCTAATTTTGTATTTTTAGTAGAGATGGGGTTTCTCCATGTTGGTCAGGCTGGTCTCGAACTCCTGACCTCAGGTGATCCGCCTGCCTCAGCCTCCCAAAGTGCTGGGATTACAGGCGTGAGCCACCACGTCCGGCCTACACTGCCTGGTTCTTAATGAATAAATGTCAGCTCTGATTGTTGTAGATATCTTTTTTTTTTTTGAGACAGAGTCTCACTCTGCTGCCCAGGCTGGAGTGCCGTGGCGAAATCTCGGCTCACTGCAACCTCCGTCTCCCAGGTTCAAGCAATCCTCCCACCTCAGCCTCCCTAGTAGCTGGGACTACAGGCTTGTACCACCACACCCAGCTAATTTTTGTATTTTTAATAGAGACAGAGTTTCACCACGTTGGCCAGACTGATCTCAAACTCCTGACCTCAAATGATCCGCCTACCTTGGCCTCCCAAAGTGCTGGGATTATAGGCATGAGCCACCACACCCGGCCCCTGTTGTTGATATCGTTGCTTACCTTCAGGACTTATTATTTTTCTCTTTAAGGAAGGCACTATTGCATCTATTTACCTGCTGAGTAAATTTAACCAGAAAAGTTCAGTAACTAACCGCCAAGCCACAGAGCTCTTCACCAGCAGAAAAGCCCTAGTATTTGAACTTTCTTTTTCTTTTTTGTTTTTCGTTTTTAGAGATAGGATTTTACTGCGTTGCTCAAGCTGTCTCCAACTCCTGAGCTCAAGCAATCCTCCTGCCTCAGCCTCCCAGGTAGCTGGGACCACAGAGATGCACCATTTGTCTAGCTCTTAAGCCCATGTACCACACTATACTGAGTTCTCTGTCTGCATACAGATTATAAGTCATTATAGGATATTTTAACATACAGGACAAATCAAAAAATTTGAATTTATTGGGTATTCCAACAACCAATTAATTCTAGTAACAGAAATATTTGTAGCCACTCTAAATTTTTATTTTATGAGAAAGAAGCAGATAATTAAAAATCAAATTGTAAGGAAATTTAGCTAAAGAAGAAGGAAGAGAAGCAGGAGAAACAGAAGGAGGGGAGGGAGGATGAAAAATACACACACACCGTAAGGTGTATTTCAAATGTGGGGCAGGTTGACATCACTCTTAACTCAATTACGTCATTCAGAATTGCTTTAGGGGCATCGCAACGTAGTTTGAAGTACACAGACTTTGGAATCGAGTAGAGTGCAGCTATCTGGATTCCAGCATCGCTGAGTTAGGGAGCTCTAAGCCACAGTTTTCTTATGGACAATTGTATCTACTTCATAGGTTTGTTAAGAAGAGTAAATGGGACTGTTTTTGAAATGCCGGGAATGATGCTTAGGACGGATATGGTGCTGAGTGAACAAAGCATAATCAGCTTTTATAGTAGTTTTTTTGAAGTTGTATAAGGTTAAAATGGGCCTTAATAACGTTAAAGAATGCTCAATAATAGTGTAATTATAACACTGTGGAATTTTAGAGATGCATGGCCTTCTAACTCAATCACTTCATCTTATATCTGAAGAAACTGAGACTCAAAAAGACTAAGTGAATTGCCCCAAATCACACAGCTAATTATAATCAGGTTGGGACTAGAACCTGGCCTCTTAATTAATGCTTCTCTTAATTTTAAAAAAGTTATGAGTGAACGATCATGCCACTTGAGCAATAAATTATGAAATATGAATGTCAGTGAACAGAATTTAGAGTTCTAATCAAATAACACATAATAAAGTTAGACATACATTTAATGATAGCTGTAATTATTATTGTACTGCATGATAACAAGGCATAAATGATAAGTAGTTCATATTAACAAGTGTCATTGTAATTATTTTGTGCAACCAAACCAAGAAAAGGAAAAATAAAATTAAGAAGAGCAGGAAACTACTCTGAGGGCCTCTTCAAAGGCTCTGGCATCTGTTACCCAGGGGGCCTAGGTAGCTGTGTTTTTCTGGCAAAAGATAAAGGGCTTAGAAGTGGTTTTGCTATTTTTTGTTGTTATTATTTTTTTTTTTTAGAGACAGACACTGTTAACTGAAAAGCAGACACTTAAGAAAAGCACTCATTCGTTTACTTAGAGACAGGGTCCCACTTTGGTGCCCAGGCTAGAGTGCAGTAGTGTGATCATTGCTCACTGCAGCTTCCAATTCCTGGCCTCAAGGGATCCTCTCATGCTTTGGCCACCCAAAGCACTGGGATTACAGATGTGAGCCACCACAGGTGGCCTGAGAAGTGGTTTTGGAGGGAGGAGGGACAAGGGGTTATTAACACTCACCTCCTCCCCTACTAATGGAGGAATCAGCCGGTATTCTCCTCTTTCTCCATCAACTTCTTGCTTGGATCTGGAAATGTAAACTACCAGAATCCAATCCTTAACAGTCAATGCCAGAGGTAACTCCCCGAACATGTTGATAGAATAACTTTGCTTTTCGCGTATTTGACATGATCATTATATTCTTTTTATAAAGATTAGAGAATTTTTAATTGATACATATTAGATGCACATATTTTCGGGATACACGTGATAATTTGATACATTCCTATAATCATATCAGGGTAATTGGGATATCCATCACCTTAAATATATCTCTTTTCTTTATGCTAGGAACATTCTAATTATTCTCTTCTAGCTAGCTGAAATGTACAATTGATTAATGTTAACTATAGTCACCCTGTTGATTATCATTGTGTTCTTATTCCCAATACTTTGTGGTCATTGCATTGATACCGAAGTCCTCAAAGAACACCTGGGTCATCATGCAGCATCCCCTACCCCAGCCAAGTGGGGACACTTGGCTGCATAATACCCTCTGTGGTCTTTAGAGAGTATCCCAGTTTTCCAATTCCTCCTTCTTTTGCTGCCAACAGGAGAGGGTGAGAACTCCCTTTTTCTACACTCGCAGGGAGACCAGATCAAAGATGTGATTGAGGGAAAGGTTCTTGGCTCAAAGATATTCTTCCCACATGCATGACTGTACATAGCCATGGAATTGTTGGTTTGGGGTCCATTTCTAAGATCGTCATATACCCAGAGAAAGGGTGGGTCTCAGCCCTCACCTTCTTTAAGACATGGCAGGAAAGGAGTTCCTCAGAGCAACAGCATCTTGAGGAGGAACTCCGTATTTTGGCATGCATTTCATGATAACATCATACTATACTAATGCCATTATTGATATCTAAACCAATACCAATGCCAATACTTACAGCAATACTGTGTGTGTGTGTGTGTGTGTGTGTGTGTGTGTGTGTGTGTGTATTCTTTTTTGTTGGAGATGGGATCTCACTCTGTCTCCCAGGCAGAGTGCAGTGGCGTAATCATAGCTCACTGCAGCCTTGAACTCCTGGGCTCAAGTGATCCTCCTGCCTCAGCCTTCCTAATAGCTAGGACTATAGGCATGCACCATCACACTCAGTTAATTGTTTTATTTTTCTGTAGAGATGAGGTCTTGCTATGTTGTCCAGGTTAGTCTCAAGCTCCTGGACTCAAGCAGTCCTCCTCACTTGGCCTCCCAAAGTGCAGCAGTACTATATTAATGCTAATACCAACATAAATTCTAATATCATTAAATGCTAATACTAATACTTCTACTGTTTCTGATACTAATTACCATTTATTGAGTATTAAGTATATGCCAGACAGTATGCCAAGAACTTTATAGGTAACATTACATTTAATTCTCACAAGAATCATTTGATGATAAATTATAAAGTGCTTAATGTATATCAATAAGTGTTCTAGGTGCTTTACAGTTATTTACTTAATTCTCAGTACAACCATAAGAGACAGGTATAATTGTTATTCCCATGGATGAGGAAATTGAAGATCAGAGTGGCTAAGTAACTTGCCCATGCTCACACAGTTAAACATGTGGCAGAGCAAAGATTTAAAATAGGTTTCTCTGACTCTAAATCTGGTATTATGTGGTGTATTTGTGTGTTCAAAATTTCAGCCGGGCATAGTGGCTCATGCCTGTAATCCCAGCACTTTGGGAGGCTGAGACAGGAGGGTCTCTTGAGCCCAGGAGTTTGAGACCAGCTGGGCAACATAGCCAGACCCATCTCTATTAAAAGTAAAAAATTAGCTGGGTGTGATGGTGCACACCTGTACTCCTAGCTTCTCGGGAGGCTGAGGTAGGAGAATAGCTTGAGCCCAGGAGTTCAAGTTTACAGTGAACTATGACTGTGCCACTGCACTCCAGCCTGGGTGACAGAGCAAGATCCTGTCTCTTAAAAAAAAAAAAAAATTGGCTGGGAGCAGTGGCTCACACCTGTAATCCCAGCACTTTGGGAGGCCAAGGTGGGTGGATCACTTGAGGCCAGGAGTTCAAGACCAGCCTGGTAAACATGCTGAAACCCCATTTCTACTAAAAATACAAAAATTAGCTGGATGTGGTGGCGGCCACCTGTAATCTTAGCTGCTTCGGAGGCTGAAACAGGAGAATCACTTAAACCTGGAAAGCAGAGGTTGCAGTGAGCTGAGATTGCGCCATTGCACTCCAGCCTGGGCAACAGAGACTCCATCTCAAAAAAAAAAAAAAAAAAACAAATTGCCAAGATGCATTTATAAACTGTCATACAGTATCTGCATTTGCTAATAAAATTTATGATAATAAACTGTCTCAATGGAATGTGTCTTTTTGTAAAAAGATAATTTTACCCTCAAATTTTGCTTCACTTATAAGTATCTTTTGAATTCAGAAAGACTTTCTTTTGATTTTTCTTAATTTCACTAAACTGATTTGAAGTTAAGCTTCAGAAATGACTCCAGGACTGGGTTATAGTCCATTGTCATGAATAACTCTGAGGTTGTCTTTTAAAATCTCCTGTGGCTTTGAAAATAATTCAAAACGTATTATTTGTGATAAGTACTTCATCATATTTTATTTGTGTATGTCTCTTTAATAGTAAATAAAGACACCAGAACTATTTCCTTAAATTGTTCTTGTCAAGCACCACTTTATTGTAGAAATGTCTTTTGCTAAATTGGATTTTGGGGAGAGCTTTGAGCTTAATGTTTATAGAGAACTTTCAAAGGAATTTGATTTTTATTATTTTTCTTAGTTTCATATTTGATTTTATCGTTGAGAGGGATGTCCCAAATAAGGCCTTCGAGACTGATGTCTTTTATCTGCAGATTGGCCAAAACATACTATGTACACAGTAAATGCATAGCTATTTTCCTGGGTCTCAGTTCTTTACAAAGAAGATGCTCAAGGGGCCCACTGATAGTTCATTTTTCCTTTAATCCATGCATTGACCAGTAACTGCAGTCTAACGTCCTTTGTCATTTGCAGTGGAGTTAACATTTTACAACACAGGCCTTTCTGGATGACAATGACTAGAATCAGTTATCTATATATTATAGCTTTCACCAGGTTCCTGAACTGTGAAAGGTGCTAAAATTGAGGACCCATCTTGCCAGTATCTAACTATACCGCAAACCAGAACTCTTACATGGTCTCTGATGGAATGCAGGAGTCATGCAGACTCTTTCATGATTTAAAGCAGTGTTCTAACCTGGGATCCATAGATTCCCAACGCATCTGTGCTTGGACTTGAGGGGCCCATGAATCTGATGGAAAAAAAATCTCATATTTATTTTCATAATCTCTATCTGAAATTTAGTATTTTTTTCCATTGTGAATGTAGGACACAAACCACGACAGAATTAACTTTAGCTGTGATTCAGTCTCTAATAGAAATCACATGTATTTTCCTTTTACATTAGAGTGGTTACTGATATCTCAAAATATTATTTATCCTCCTCTCTAAGATTGTGGTAATTATTAGATGTACTGTGACATCTTGAAATGTGGTATCTTAATAAAGAGACATATTAACAAAATTAAATTCAAATATTTTGATAACTGTATTTCAATATAATCGGTTTGCTATCTTCTGTCTTATAGATTTAAAAACATTTTCAGAAAGGGGTCCACCAGACAGCCAAAGCGGTACATGGAACAAAATAGGTTAAGAACCCCTAAAGAGGCCAGGTGTGGTGGCTCACGCCTGTAATCCTAGCACTTTGGGAGGCTGAGGCGGGTGTATTGCCTGAGCTCAGGAGTTCAAGACCAGCCTGGGCAACACAGTGAAACCCCGTCTCTACTAAAATACAAAAATTTAGCCAGGTGTGGCGGCATGTGCCTGTAATCCCAGCTACTCGGGAGGCTGAGGCAGGAGAATTGCTTGAACCGGGGAGGTGGAGGTTGCAGTAAGCTGAGTTCATGCCACTGCACTTCAGCCTGGGCAACAGAGTGAGACTCTGTCTCCAAAAAAAAAGAACCCCTAAAAAGTTGGCATAAAGGTGTGTGGAGCAAGGGAACTCTGGTCAAATGCAGTCTCCAAGTCAAACTCTGATCCAGGGAATCCTATGAAAGAAAGAGAGAGCCTCATCTGCCCTTCCAGCTTTCAGCAAGGATGACTATTCCTCAATCTAACAGAGCTTAATGTTTATGGGGAATTTTTAGAGAAATTGAAAACAGATTCCTGAATCAGAAATCTTGGAATGTAAAGAAAACTAGCCAACCCATAGCCAGAAGTGTGAGCAGGTCCCAGGGGCCAATGGCCAATGGTGCTTCTATCCATAGTATATCAGGCATGAGCCCAGGTAGACTGGAGTGTTTCCATGGACCATGCCACGTAACTACTCATATGATTTCTGCACAAGGTTACTATGTTGCTCATTACTATGTTGCTCACTCTGTACTCAGTTTTAGGGGGATACTTAGTAATATTTAATATGTAAAACACTGACACAACTTTAGTCTTTATTCTGAAATATGTATACAGAAGAATCTAGCTTCTACTCTTCAAAATTTAATGTGGATCTAATAGTATATCCAGAGGTTGACTGTGTCTTGGGACTGCTATTATCTTGAGCTAATCACTGCATTCTCTGATTACTCATTGGTGAAAGCATTTATTTTAAAATGCATAACCTTAAAATAGAAATAATTTAGGAAAATTATGTGTATCAGTTAGGATTAAGATCTGCTGCATGTAATTGGAAACTCTAAATCACAGTAGCTTAACAAGATGTATATTTATTTTCTCTTATGCAAAAATAAAAAGCCTGATGTAAGACGTCCAAGAGTATTATGATATCTCTGTAAAGTCACCGACCCAGTTTCCTTCTTTCTGCTATCCATCCTTAACTGGTGACATTTGTCTTTAAGTTGCCTCATGAGTCAGTATGGCTGATTGAGCTCTTGCCATCACATCTGCATTCCAAGCAGCAGGAAGGAGAAACCCCAGAAGGATAAAAGCATTCTTTTTGCAGCTGAGTTGGCCTCTTTTTAGCAGCCTTCTTAGTAGGTCCCATTTGATACTTCTGCTTGTATTTCCTTGAGCAGAACTTAGTCACAAGGTGCTACCTAGTTTAAGGGAGAATGGGAATGTAATCAAATAATTATGTGTAAACTGTTGCCTCTGAAAAAACAAAAAACTGGGGTTCTATTTCTAAAGAAGAAAAGGAAGTGGTTATTGGGCAGCAAGTTATGGCCCCTGTGACAGTATATACAGGGAAAGTTTAATTAAGCATACACATGCTTCACAGAAGTACTCAAAAAATAGCACTGGACTAGCAGACAGTTGCCTTACGTCCTAGTCCCACCTCTACCTTTTATCTACCACACTTTGAGCAAACTATTTAGCTTCTTTGAAGTTTAGTTCTTTCATTTTTAATGTGGATGTGATAATTCTTTTCCTTTCAGCTTTTCCATTGTTGTGAACTATAATTGAAGCAATGCATATGAAAGCACTTTTAAAAGTATAAAAGCATTGCATAAATGCAAGGTATTTTGTTTCTTCAGGTACATGGGAGCTGTGATCAGAGAAGGGTCTTTTCAGTTGATCTCTCAGTAAACTAGTTACTCATAAAACCCCAAGCCGAGAAGCAATCCCCATCTCTATATTAACTTAGCAACCTCTGATAATGTATTTTCTAAATTTAGATGGAGATTAAACTGTTGTGTCACCAGATCATTAAATGACGCCAGCTACATGTACTGTAACTGTGATATGGGTAAAGAAAGAAATTTTAAATTCTGTCTGATGGCTAATGTTTTCATGGGAATCTTGGTTATCACTGAGAGGACAGCATCAACTCTAGCTAGCAGAAGCAGAAAGGGATGCCTTGCAAGATTTAATACGGCTTGCAGAATCACTGGGGACAGGGAGCAGAAGAAAGAGCCCCTAGGCTGAGCTTCCATAGATAACTCTCAAAGCCCCCACAGAATTGTGCTGTGGCTCCTGCCATGATCAAGAAGCCGTCTGTTAAATCAGGAGTCTTGCTCAGGGTCTTGACTCCAGAGTTCACAGTGCTGCAGTCTCAAACAGAACCAGCCTGATCCACACCAGCAAAATGGTGCCTCTTGCTCTTTCTTACCCCACTTAAATCCATTCCAAACCCCGTCCCACATGATTGCATTTGATTGATAAAACCTCCATCAACCCAGAACCCTAGCTTCAAGGGAGGGTAAAAAATATAGCTTTCATCTTTGAAACCTCTGCTAGAAGCATGTTGACATGCATATTGTATGTGCCAATTCGTAATATCTGCCAGAGTGAATGTTAATTGTACCTATGAAATAGAATGTGCTATTTGAGGCCCCCAAATACTGCCAACATGTCTTAGAAATGAAATTATTTCAACGTGGCATAATATAATCAAGGCAGAGGGAATTCATTTAACTTAACTGTGGATTGACTGAAGAGTCAGGAAATATAGAACACATGCATGTACACATATCTGCAGCATGCTATTAAGTTAATACGTTTGCACTAGCATGCCAAGTTAGGCGTGTGGATGTTTCATTAAGAATATTATTTGCTCATATAAAAAAATTTCTGTTTGCTTCCATTGATCAGGACTAGAATAACTCAATTTAATGTATTTATACACCATGACAAAACCACAATAATTAAAGTTCAACATGTGCATAGAGGTGATCTGAAGTTTTGTTGACTAGGAGAGTTCTCAATATTCATCCTTCTACTTGAGCAGCTTAGCTAACAAAACATAAGGCATTCAAAAATAAGAATGGGTTAGAGTCATAGAAAAATAACCATGGTTCTTAATTATTTTTTTAAAAATTGTGGAAAATAAAATGTATTGATTAGTGTGAGAAGATGGTTTTGTTGTTACAAGTCAGATCACTTTCTTGAGAAGGGCAGACTTCCAACCTGATAATGCGGAACTTCCTGTGGCTACAGAACCATGACTTCTCACTGATTGATGTGTATTGGGAAACTAGACGAAGATGGTCAATGGCTGGAAGAATTAGAATGACATTTCTTTTTTTTTTGAGACGGAGTCTCGCTCTGTCGCCCAGGCTAGAGTGCAGTGGCACGATCTCGGCTCACTGCAAGCTCCGCCTCCCAGGTTCACGCCATTCTCTAGCCTCAGCCTCCCGAGTAGCTGGGACTATAGGCGCCTGCCACCAAGCCCGGCTAATTTTTTGTATTTTTAGTAGAGACGGGGTTTCGCCATGTTAGCCAGGATGGTCTCGATCTCCTGACCTCGTGATCCGCCTGCCTCAGCCTCCCAAAGTGCTGGGATTACAGGCGTGAGCCACCGCGCCCGGCCTTTTTTTTTTTTTTTTTTTTTTTTTTTTTTGAGACGGGATTTCGATCTTGTTGCCCAGGCTAAAGTGCAATGGTGCGATCTCGGCTCACTGCAACCTGTGCCTCCCGGATTCAAGCGATTCTCCTGCCTCAGCCTGCCGAGTAGCTGTTACAGGCATGAGCCAACATGCCCAGCTAATTTTGTTTTTTTAGTAGAGATGGGATTTCTCCATGGTGATCAGGCTGGTCTGGAACTCCCGACCCCAGGTGATCCGCCCGCCTCAGCCTCCCAAAGTGCTGGGATTACAGGCGTAAGCCACCACTCCTGGCCTTTTTTTTTGTTTGTTTTTTTGAGACAGAATCTCGATCTGTGGCTCAGGCTAGAGTGCAGTGGCGCAGTATCCATTCACTGCAACCTCCGCCTCCCAGGTTCAAGTGGTTCTCCTGCCTCAGCCTCCTGAATACCTGGGATTACAGGTGCCCACCACCACGTCTGGCTAATTTTTGTTTTTTTAGTAGAGATGGGATTTCGCCATGTTGGCCAGGCTGGTCTCAAACTTCTGACCTCAGGTGATCCGCCTGCTTCGGCCTTTCAAAGTGCTGAGATTATAGGCATGAGCTACCAGGCCTGGCCTAGACTGACATTTCTAAAGACTGCTTGGGTGGGGCTTACGTAGAAGGGAGCAGAGAAAGCAAGACTGGAGGGCATTGGGGGTAGTGAGCAGATCCCTCTTTCTGAAATCTGTTTTGTTTTTCCCTAGGAAAATGGTTCTCAAACTTTTTGGTCTCAGGATTGTTTAAACTCTTAAAAATAATTCAGGCCCCAAAGAGCTTGTGTTTATATAGATTATATATATCAATGTTTATCATTCTCAAAATGAAAACTGAGAAATAGAAAACTATTTGTTAAAAAATAACAATGTTAGGGTTGGGCACTGTGGTTCATGCCTGTAATTCTGGCACTTTGGGAGGCTTGCATGAGCCCAGGAGTTTGAGACTTGGCAGCATAGAGACCCTATCTCTACAAAAAATAGAAAAGATAGCTCGGCACAGTGGCACATATCTGTAGTTTTAGCCACCTGGGAGGCTGAGGTGGGAGGATCCCTTGAACCTAGGAGTTTAAGGTTGTAGTGAGCTATGATGAAGCCACAGCACCCTAGCCTGAGTAGTAGAGCATGACTGTCTCAAAAACAAACAAGCAAACCCAACAACATTAAATCTGTTACATGTGAATGTAAAGATTAGTTGCAATACAACTTCATGGTCTTTTTCTGGATTTGATTGGGTTTCAGTTGGTATTACATACCTGCCTCCTTTGTGGAAACAGCATTATGAAATGGATATTAAAGTGCTCTTGAGTTGGGATGTGGTCAGTAAGAAAATCACCATGTTTATTTTTGCACAGGTGTTTCCCTTTTTATGGAGTTGGGCCAAAGTACTCCTGTACTGTAGTTTCTAGTGGCTTGAAGTAGGTTGGGTAGGGTAGGCCTTGGGCGGGGTGAATCTTGCCAGTAAACTAAATCCCAGGTAGGTGGGAAGTGGGGCGGTAATCTAGAAGGGTGAGGAGGATGGTCCCTACCCCTTGCATATCTGGAAAGGCTTTTAGATAGCACTGTCCTGAAGATCAAGGCACTCATGATTGTCAAGAACAAGGCTGTAGAATTATTTTCATGAGATTTTTCCCAATTATGGCTGAATGTAGCTGTGAAGAGGCAGAATCAAGAATTCCATGAGGAATTGATTGAGATTGTGGGAGTCACATTTGGGAAAGCTTCTTGGAGAGTCATGAGTTATAAAGTGAGTGTGTGTTCTGAAAGAGTATCATTAGAGGAATCTCACAATCGTATGTTTTATCCTGTGAATTCTTAGAAATGCAGAAATAGGCGGGGCGCGGTGGCTCACGCCTGTAATCCCAGCACTTCGGGAGGCCGAGGCAGGTGGATCACGAGGTCAGGAGATCCAGACCATCCTGGCTAACACGGTGAAATCCCGTCTCTACTAAGAATAGAAAAAATTAGCCGGGTGTGGTGGCAGGCGCCTGTAGTCCCAGCTACTCGGGAGGATGAGGCAGAAGAATGGCGTGAACCCGGGAGACGGAGGTTGCAGTGAGCCGAGATCGCGCCTCTGCACTCCAGCCCGGGCGACAGAGCGAGACTCCGTCTCAAAAAAAAAAAAAAAAAAAAAAAAGAAAAAGAAAAAAGAAAGAAAAAGAAAGAAATGCGGAAATCATTTCTTGAATGTGAAGAGGCTTCAGTATTTCACAGCTCAATTGTTAGAATTTACTTTAGCAAGTTAGATTTATCCATTGCACACTTCTACTTGAAATTAAAGGCCTCTCGGCTGGGTGTGGTGGCTCACGCGTGTAATCCCAGCACTTTGGGAGGCCAAGGCGGGCAGATCACGAGGTCAGGAGATCGAGACCATCCTGGCTGACACGGTGAAACCCCATCTCTACTAAAAAAATACAAAAAAATTACCCAGGCGTGGTGGTGGGCGCCTGTAGTCCCAGCTACTCGGGAGGCTGAGGCAGGAGAATTGCATGAACCTGGGAGGCAGAGCTTGCAGTGGGCCGAGATTGCACCACTGCACTCCAGCCTGGGCAACAGAGCGAGACTGTCTCAAAAAAAAAAGAAAAAAGAAAAAAGAAAAAAAAAGAAATTAAAGGCCTCTCACGTGAAGCACAGGATAATTTGGTTTCGACAAACAGTGTTTCTGAGTTATCACAGGGAGGGCCCAGGTTTTGTTGACTGTGAAAATCTTTTGATATTTCAGAAGGCTTCTTATCATAATCCTTTCCTTGTTTTTTTTTTTTTTTTGTTTTGTTTTTTTAATGTTGCTCAGGTTGGTCCTACCTTTCTTTGTACTTGTGGTCACAAGATGACTAAAATATGTTTTGCCCCCACCTTTCTTTAGTTTAATACACTATCTTACTCAAAGTTAGTTGTTTTTTTGTTTTGTTTTGTTTTGTTTTAGGGGGACGGAGTTTCACTCTTTCGCCCAGGCAGGGGTGAAATGGCACAATCTCGGCTCACTGCAACCTCCGCCCCCCAGGTTCAAGCAATTCTCCTGCCTCAGCCTCCTGAGTAGCAGGGATTACAGGAGCGTGCCACCATGCCTGGCTAATTTTTGTATTTTTAGTAGAGACGGGGTTTCACCATGTTGGCCAGGCTGGTCTCAAACTCTTGACCTCAGGTGATCCACCCGCCTCGGCCTCCCAAAGTGCTAAGATTACAGACGTGAGCCACCGTGCCCCGCCTAGGCTTTTAAAAATCAAGATTTCAGGCTGGGCACAGTGGCTCATGCCTGTAATCCCGGCACTTTGGGAGGCCGAGGCGGGTGGATCACTTGAGGTCAGGAGTTCATGACCAGCCTGGCCACCATGGTGAAACCCCATTTCCACTAAAAGTACAAAAATTAGCTGAGCGTCGTGACACATGCCCGGCTACTAGGAAGGCTGAGACAGAAGAATCACTTGAATCTGGGAGATAGAGGCTGCAGTGAGCTGAGATGGCGCCACTACACTCCAGCATGGGTGACAGAGTGAGACTCTGTCTCAAAAAAAAAAAAAAAAAAAATCAAGGTGTCTCTCATTTTCAAGGATAATCAAATTTACCCTTTCATCCTGTGATTTTCTATGTAATAATATGTGTTTATTTCTTTTTAGGTCTGAATGCAGTTATATATACATTCTTTTACTCCTCTTATTAGAGAATCTAATGAACCTTCATTCTATCAAATGTTTCCCATGGTATATTTGTAGTTGGTATGATCATTAAATGCAGAAGAATGCTTCACTGACCAGTACCTCTCTTAAATCATGATTCGACATCATTTTTGTAATTTTACCAATGTTTTTATTTCCCTAAATCCCTAAAGATAGATTGGCTGGGTGCGGTAGCTCATGCCTGTAATCCCGGCACTTTGGGAGGCCAAATCCACTTTTGGCGGATCATGAGGTCAGGAGATTGAGACCATCCTGGCTAACATGGTGAAACCCCGTCTCTACTAAAAATACAACAAAATTAGCTGGGCGTGGTGGCGGGTGCCTGTAGTCCCAGCTACTAGGGAGGCTGAGGCAGGAGAATGCTGTGAACCCGGGAGACGGAGCTTGCAGTGAGCCGAGATCACACCACTGCACTCCAGCCTGGGTGACAGAATGAGACTCTGTCTCAAAAATAAATAAATAAATAAAAATAAAAAATAAGATAAAATAAGATAGATTTCGATTCTCCAAAACATTTCGTTTTCTATACTTATACATCCCAATTTCTGTATTTTCTTTACATTTTGTGCTTTATATAACTATTTGAAACAGTATGATCATAGGATGTCAAATGATGTCACAAGAAGAAAATACATAGAACTAGAGTCTTCTTGCATTTCATCGTGCTATTAACAGTAAACTCATTAACTGTGTTGCTTTTCAAAGTGTTCACAATGTTTGTTCATATTGCTAAGCAGAGAAACTGTTCTTTGGAAGGGAGTACAGATAATTTTCAGAAAGAACCATCATAAAACATGTTTGAGCTAGAAGCAAAAGCAAATAAAAGCTGCAAATGAACCAGTAAAAAAGAAAAAGAAAAGCATTTGCAAAATAAATTCTATGATGCACTTAGAGAAAAGCTGTATGACATTTCCTTCTGCTGTTATAATGATATACTCTTTGGTTGACCAGCTGACCAGCCAGCCCCTAAAGACTTCATATCCTGTTTTTCAATTATAGGACTACAAATCAATGCATCTCCAGTGTTGAGCAATGACATTTTGGGTCATTTAACTAACTCCCTTATGCAGGTTATCCTCCTTTATCAGCACCATAAAAATGAGACTGATGGTAGCATTTATAGTCACTGCAAAGAGTCACCTAATAAGCTGGTGAGTCATGACCTCATTCTTTCCTGTTGCCCAGCATTTCTAGCAAAGTTGAAACATTGAGGAAAAATGAACCACAGATTTTGTAAACAGATAAAGAAATATGGTGATAGGTTAACTCTGACATTAGAGCTAGAATGAGAAATCATCTGGAGCCATAAAAGCCTGCCAAACTTTTTCCTCTTAGAAAATTGCCTCATAGACAGTTTAAACCATCCTTATATGGTATTTTAATAACTTAAGAAAGATGATCCGTTAGGTTATTAAATTAAATCTTTGTGTTGCTACTATTGTAACATTAGATGAATGAATAACATGAATGTGTTTTTATGCTCTGCCATTGATATGGCTGGCATGGGAAAGGCTTCTTCCTTTGTTTTCAGGGCTTAAATTGTTCGATTGGACAGAATGGGAGAAATAACTGCATACTTAATAAATTCTTTCTGATGAGATGATGCTTTCAAAGAAATTCAGACTCAAGATCCCTTTTCTGAGGTTTGAATGATCAAAGGAGAAATCAGTATCTAAATCTATCTTTTTCTTCCTTGTTCTAAAAGAAAGTACATCTTATATCTATATCTATATCTATATATATTTGCTAGTGAATAAGGGAATAAGGTCTTATCGTAGGTAGGAGTAGCTATATTTGCAAATGATGTAAAATTTGGATTTACATGTGCCATCCCCAAATACGGTCATACATAGAGTTTCAGTGATAGGATGCATTCTGTGACTTGAAATGTGCATTTTTATTACTGAATTATATCACCATGAATTAATATTTTAGGATAAATCCTGCAATTATCTTTTGAATATTACATTGTATTGTGTGCATATTACATTGTGTTGTGAGAAAACCTACTGAAAGGGGTCAGATGTAATATTGTAGTGTGTGTGTGAGATCTACTGAAATCTCACCCCTTTCAGTAGATTTTCTCACCAGCTTTCAGTGATGGTGGTGATGGTGATGGGAACAGTTAAAAACATTACTTTGCTGAAGCTAACATTTATGTAATTTGTTGTAATACTATTTAGATATTTCTTCCCTTTTAATAAGATCAGAGGCTAAAAAAAAAAAAAAAGAGAAAAATAAAAAGTAACTCTTTCTTGATACCTGAGAGGCTTTGTAAATAAATACAAAGGAAAAATGTGAGAACTTAAATGATTTTTCCCTAGAAATAATTGTGTTTTTTAGAAGAGTGAAGTAAGATTCAAGGAGAGTCTCACCCAACAATTAGGCCAGAGAAATTGAAACAGAAAGAAAGAAAGAAAGAAAGAGGAAAAAGAGAGAAAGAGAGAAAGAAAGAAAGAAAAGAAAGAAAGAAAAAAGAAAGAAAGAGAAAGAAAGAAAGAAAGACATAAAAAGAAAATTCTTCCTGAGAAGGGCCCAAAATTTGCATTTCTAACAAGTTTCCAGGTAACACTGGTGCTCTTTGCCTGGGAACCACGCTTTGATAACTTAGTATATGTTAGCCCTATAGATCTGGTGAGATGCCACAGCTGACCTAGAGCAGGTTCTGTGGGCAGGGGTGGGTAAGGATATGAGCCTGGGGACACTAACATATGAATTTCAGTATATCAGTGACAAAGGGAAGTTATTCTAATGTCCCTCAGATTATAAAAGGGAAGTTATTCTAATGTCCCTCAGATTTTACCACTAAGTAACTTCACCTGTTATAAAATGGATGTTGCTTTGGGTTCAAATGCTAAAATAAATTATTTGAAGCTGCAATAAATCTAATTGTAGGCAAATAAGAGTGGCTATAGTTACATAGAACTAGGTTGAAAAAAACTTGGTTTCAGGCTGAGCGCCATGATTCACGCCTGTAATCCTAGCACTTTGGGAGGCCGAGGCGGGCGGATCACTTGAGGTCAGGAGTTTGAGACCAGCCTGTCCAACATGGTGAAACCCCCTTCTCTATTAAAAATACAAAAATTAGCTGGGCATGGTGGTGCATGCCTGTAATCCCAGCTACTCGGGAGGCTGAGGTAGGAGAATCACTTGAACCTGGGAGGCGGAGGTTGCAGTGAGCTGAGTTAGCACCACTGCACTCCAGCATGGGCGACAGAGCGAGACTCTGTCTCAAAACAAACAAACAAACAAACAAACAAACACTTGGTTTCAATGCATTGAGGTAGGGAAAAGATTGAAAGAGAATTTGTCACCTTATTGCAAAGATGGGCAAGCTTTGTTTCACTTTATCTTTTTCCATTTGACCTTGAATGATTACAAGAATAGCTACAAAGCCTCTGAAAATTAAAGGTCATCTTACTACAAAGGAATTTTTATGCAGAAGCTTTAATGTTGAACTTAAATTGATCTAGATTACAGACTGCATACTTTTAACTTTCTTGGTGGTTTTATGTAAATTAATTAATTTTGTCCCTCAATTTCTCTTTTGGTTGTAGATATTTTCAATCATGGGTATAGTATGGAGGTTGTTAGTAAAAACTATTGAAAAGTGTTTTACAATACTTTATTATTTCTAAGATATGATGATGAATATCAGTGTGTATATTTATACTGACGAAAATAAAGCATATTTTCTCCTTGGTGTTTTTACACAGATACCTCTTATTAACTAAAGTTAGATTACCTAGGCAACTTTGAGGGATTATATGAATTACATGCTATTAAAGCTATCATTGTGGTCAAGAGTTTAGGTACTATTTTCAGCCCTGGCTGTGTATTGCAATGGTATGCAGATGAAAAATGTATAAATGCATGACCTTGTCAATAAAAACAAAATGAATAAGCAACACCAATGACAGTTTTGTTGGAACCAATTCCCCCCTCCCTTTTTTTCTGGAAATATGTGGCTGGCACACAGTAATAGGCTTATGAATTGAACAATTTAATACTTTATTAAAATAAAAGCAAATTAAACAGAAAGGATTGAGTTCATCTTTAGTTAAGAATGCCAGTGGCTTGGCTCTGGGAAGATGTGTCGGAGGGAGAAGAAAAAAGGGATCACTTAAGGGATTAAGTATATGAGGATCCATGAGAATTTCACGTAGACCCTGCGAAGTCCAATTTGATTGTTTCTTGATTACATTTTTACATTCTTCTGAAAGGGTCTTCAGAATTAAAGAGCAGTTTGAGGAGCAGGGAAGAATGAACAAGAATACCAAGTTTCTCAGAAGCTGGTGAAGTACTACCTACGACTCTGATTGCCTTTAATGTCATGGAGGAAGCTCTAACCCAGCTGCTTCACATAAGGGTGCAAAGCTACGACAACTCGGGTGACCTAGAGCAGCTGAACCAGTCCAGGTTTATGCCTGATCTATCTCATGGCATAAAACATTCTTTAAAAAACAACAACAGCAACAAAAATCTAGCATTTGCTTTCTAATTCTCTCAAAGCACCATGCAAATATTTATTGATCTTCCCAATGTCTGATAAAGAAGATACTAAAACAATTTATTTTATAAATCATTAGTGAGTGGACGAGTGTCGTAGGATGGCATTTTGTGATTTCTTAAACTTCGACTTCTGAGTTCTAATTATCTTCTGGTGCTATGTGATAACAGCGTGTAATAGGAAAAACGCGTTTGACTTTCAGGTCAGAGTGATCTGGGTCTGCATTCCAAACCAATCACGTAATTAGCCTCGTGGCATTGAACAAATTCCTTAATCTTTCTGAACCTCAGTTTCTTCATCTATAAAATGGGTATAGTAATACTAGCTTATTGTAACCATTAAAAAGGCTGTGTGTAAAATTTCTGGCACTCGGCAAGCCCTCAACACATAATAAAAGTTACAATAGTTCTTGTTTTTTTTTTTTTTTTTTTTTTTGAGAGGGAGTCTCGCTCTGTCCCCCAGGCTGGAGCGCAGTGGCGTGATCTCGGCTCATTGCAAGCTCTGCCTCCCGGGTTCACGCCGTTCTCCTGTCTCAGCCTCCTGAATAGCTGGGACTACAGGCGCCCGCCACCAGGCCCGGCTAATTTTTTGTATTTTTAGTAGAGATGTGGTTTCACCGTGTTAGCCAGGATGGTCTGGATCTCCTCACCTCGTGATCCGCCCGCCTCGGCCTCCCAAAGTGCTGGGATTACAGGCGTGAGCCACTGTGCCCAGCATTTTTTTTTTTCTTTTTGAGATAGGGTCTCATGTTGTCAGCAGACTGGAGTACAGTGGTGCCATCTTGGCTCACTGCAACCTCTGGGGTTCAAGTGATTCTCCCACCTCAGCCTCCCGAGTAGCTGGGACTACAGGCACGCGCCACTATGTCTAGCTAATTTTTTGAATGTTTTGTGGAGATGGGTTTTTGCCATGTTGCCCAGGCTTGTCTCCAACTCCTGAGCTCGAGCGATCCTCCTGCCTCAGCCTCCCAAAGTGCTGGGATTACTGGCATGAGCCACTGCACCCGGCCTTGTTTTGTTAATTGTATCTATTGCATCACATGAAGAGAAAATACTCACCAATTCTAGCCTGGGGCATTAGGCATTTATTGCTTTCAGTAGATGTTCTCAATTGTGCATAGATCATAGACCCGAACTGATGTTTTTAACCCCTCTGATGAGGCATCACAAGGACAAAAATTTAATTTTATCCAGGATGTATTTGTTAGTCTTTGGCCAAGCTCTTAGCCAGATCTTTTGTAGGATTCCGTTGAAAGTCCTAAAAGAAATAATTCATTTAGTATTTACACTCCATCACTTAAATGTTATGTATTTTAGGATTAAGCAACATCTGGAATTAACCTCTATTTATACAGTTAATTTTTTTTAAAGCCAACAGATGACTCCTTTTGGCACTCTTCTGATAAAATTCTGTCCAGGCCCACAGAGTGATAATCTTGAGACCGGCTGCTCACCTCTCCTAGCCTCCTCCAGTGCCACAGGCCTAGTTGACCTCTGCTGGGTTTCCTGGGGGTGGGCCTGGCCCCCTTCTGCTCACTTCTGGGCCATTTGCCTTGACTTGCTTGGCCCACTCCAGCTGCTTCCCATTCATTTCCTGGCTTCTGAGCTTGCAGAGGGCTTGGGAATTCTTCCCAACTCAGGCAGCCACCAGCATTCTTCCCAGCTGGCAGTTTTCCTGCTAAATGGGAGCCTTCCTCTTGCAGTGTCCTCCACCTGTCTGCAGCTATATCGCCTCTAGACTTGTCCATGGCCCTGGAGCTCAGTGCTCATGTGACACAGCCTGAGCTGAATTCCTGCTCAAGGCTGCAGGGGAGGCCACCAGCTCCACACTTTATTCAGGGCAATGGAAATCCCCTCTTCCCTCGCTATGGTTCCCACCCCCAGTCAGCAGGGGAGCATCCTCTGAGCAGATTGCCATACGTGCCTGTTTCTGCTTCCATTTCCCCAAATGAGAACACTACTGAAGGTCAGCAGAGCTTGGAAACAGCTCACCAGGGTTAAGTCATGGAAAACACCAGTGATCCAGACAGGAAATAGGGGCCACGAGTAGTTTCAGATAGTGACAAAAAACAGGAGTGGCTGAACATTCACACTGTGGATAAGTGGAGTTGGCCACCGCCTGATGCAATTTGTGTCTCCGAGGGTGGCTTCCATTGGCTTTACGCAGTGCCTGAAGTTCTAGTTCCTAGCCCAACTTCCTCTTTCCAGTAGAAGCAGGGTGTGGTGCAGCATTTTCCAGAGTGCTCCTTGCAGTACAAATCCCCTGAGGTGCTCCTTGAGAAAAGGTTTTCATACTTGAATAACACTGCACAATGCTGCACGCTATAGCTCCTTCAAGAAGATCACAGAGTGCATTCATATATTAAGACTATTCGCGCTTGGAAGCTGTGCTTTATCCAGAGGCTCTGAAAGTTATTGGACTACAGAATGCTTCCTTCAAATAACACTTAATCATAATCAGTAAAATTAATGCTCAATGGACATACTGTTCTTTTGTTTGTTTGTTTGTTTCTATTTGAGTTGGAGTCTTGCTCTGCCGTCCAGGCTGGAGTGCAGTGATGTGAGCATGGCACACTGCAGCCTCGAACTTATGGGCTCAAATGATCCTCCCATCTCAGCCTCCCATTACCATGCATGCTAATTTTTTCTATTTGCTATTTTTATTTTTTTGTAGAGTCAAAGCCTCACTATGTTGCCCAGGCTGGTCTTGAACTCCTGGGGTCAAGTGATCCTCCTGCCTCAGCCTACCAAAGTGCTGGGAATATAGTCATGAGTCATGGCACCCTGTTCAACATGCTATTTTTTAAGCCAAGAACACACCTACCTCAGGGCCTTTGTCCTTGCTGGTCCTTCTACTTGCTATGACCTGTCTATGGATATTCACATGACTCACTTCCTCAACTGCTCAAAAGAGGTTTTCTCTGAATGTCCTATCTAAATGACTCTCCCCATTCACTTCAATACAGTCACTTTCTCTTTATCCCCTTATCCGGCTTTGTTATTTTCTATAGCAGTTATAACTCCCTGGCATTATAAATCATTGATTTATTATGTAATAATTAATTTATTTTTGATAAATGTATTGTAGTTAAAATGAAAGCTCCCTGACGGCAGAGGCATTGGTGCCCCCTGTTGTATCCTCAGCTCTAGAACTCTGCCTCTTTCTCTCTCAGTATGACCTTGAGCAAATCCCTTCATCACTTGGACCCTCAATTTCTTTAGGTAAGATGAAGAAAAACAATATCCATTCTGCTTCTCTCATGGGACCATGAGGAGGATCAGGTGAGAACTGGGCTGTGATAGTGCTTGTAAACTGTCAGGAGCTAAAAAATATAGGTTATTTTATATTATTATAAATAATATAGGTTATTATATATTATATAACATATATATAATATATTACCTATATAATATATTACCTATATATTACCTATATAATATAGGTTATTATATATTATTAAACATATATCTATGAACATAATAAATATATTATTAAAGACAAAATGCAAAACAGAAAAGGGAGGTAACCCCCATGGTGAGAGCAGATGAACTAGGAATGTGAGGATAGGTTGTTTTGACAAAAAAGAGGGGCAGGGTAGAAGAAACTCTAAAGAGGCAGTGTGACCTAGAGAGAGCAAAGACCCGTTGATACTGTCCTGAATCACAGGAAATGGGAGAAATACTTAAGAGAGGGAAGAAAGTTTCACTAGTAGAGCTTGTTAGTATAATCTAGTAGTTACTGCTCTTTGGATGCTTCCATATCTCTGACACTTTGATTTTTAAACAAATTTTGTTTAATCCATAGGAAAGTCCTATAGGGTAAGTATCATCTAGGTTTTATTCACAAGGAAACTGAAGCAGAGGGAGTTTCAATACCATACTGTACCCAAGGCCACATAGGGAGTGACAATCCAGATCTCAATGCCAACCTGAGGCTGCCAGACAAGGCAGTCTTGGCTCCCACAGAGCCTAATGGGTCTCCTCCTCGCCCTACTTGGAGGTGGCCCTGTAAGAGTGAGGACAAGGTTAACCAGAGAACTTCTGTTAGCCTCTTCCTTAGCTCTCTCTAGAAAAACAGTTTGAACTGTAAACCTACAGTGGTGCCACAAACCTAGTTGATGTATAGAACCATCCACTGAATTGCTCTTTAGGGGAGGGAGCAGGGAAAGGACAGAGGAAGGTAGGTAGTTTTTAAAGTATAACAATGGTTATGACTTTGTTATTTGAGGAAATGTACGTATGTTCAGAAAATGGAAGTTGAGGCTGGGCTGCATGGAGGCTGCTGTTTGTCTTGTATTATTTTCTGCTGCAAGGGCTTATATCCTCTCATATCCTGTTTCTCTTTATTTTTAAAACCATGTGTCAATATTTTGTTTGCATTAACTAATTATCTGTGTGTCTCCATCTGAGACAATCTAAAAATTATTAAAGACTTCAGTAGCAAATCTGGGAATGGAATAAACGGAATGAGATCTATTATAAGATTCTTCTCTGTGTTACCAATGTTTGCCTAATGAGGTTTTACGTCAACTTTGAAAACCTTAATTTATTTGGGTATTAAATTCAATGAAAGGTCTCCCACCAATCTGGCAGTTAGTCCTGAGGTGTGAAACTTGCCCTCCCTGAAGATGCTGGGAACTTTGCCCATAAAATAGGAAACGACGGTTGAAAATAAAATCTTGACAATTTTAGAACATGGGATAGTTGAAATCTCTGGGATGAAATGAGCATGACTAATATCATTTCTATTCCATAGAGCTCATTTTCCTTACAGAAGTTGTCAGGGAGTGAGTCTAGAGGGAGGCTGTGACTACATGTATGTAGCAGCAAATCTAAGCCATTATCAGGATGATTCAGCCACCAAGACCTTTTACTAGAAATAAACTGATATTTAAAGGTTAAGAATGGGAGTGGGAAAATGTTTTTCTTTCATTTTTTAAAAATAATGCTTTCAATGTTTTTAGTTCAAGTGAATGGACGTGTGTGTGTGTGTGTGTGTGTGTGTGTGTATGTGTGTGAGAGAGAGAGAGGTGAGGGAGATAAGAGAAGGAGAGAGGAAAGAAGTGGGAGGGGAGGACAGGCAATGTCTTCAAACATCAAACTCTGGGATAATTGAATAGTTGGATGCGGGTTGTGCTCCCTGTTAAGGGGCAGTGTCATGTAGTGGTTAAAGGTTTTAAGTCAGACACTTAGATTCAAAGCCTGGCTTAGTGCTTTTCTCAAGCCGTTCTCTGTAACTTGAAAGATCCTAGTGGTCACCTAGTGTGATTCTATTTATCTTTCAAAAGGTCCTACTTGGATCTTTTGGAGTTTTTTGTAATTGTATCAGCCATAATGAATCTTTCAGTCTTTTGAATTCCTGTAGTAAAATATTGCCTTGTAAATATTTGTGTACATGTTTATCTTGCCTATTCTTTGAGAGCAGACTCCCTGCTTTACCTGCTTTCCTATTTCACACAGTTTTTAGTACAGTGTACTCAATAAATTTTTGTTTATTGAATGAAAATGGATGAATAAAAAAATACTTTTGAGCAAAGCTCATGAAAGCTTTTGTTATTACAATTATAGTAGAGGTGACTTGTCTGAGTTCTAAAATTTATTTTATTTAAAACTTTTTTTAATTTTTAATTTTTGCGGGTATATGGTAGGTGTATATATTTATATGATACATGGGATATTTTGATATAGGCACGTAATGTGAAATAAGCACATTGTGGAGAATGGGGTATCCATCCCTTCAAGCATTTATTATTTGTGTTATAAACAATTCAATTATACTCTTTTGGTTATTTAAAAATGTACAATTAAATTATTATTGACTATATGGCCAGGCATGGTGGCTTATGCCTGTAATCCCAGCACTTTGGGAGGCTGAGGCGGGCAGATCATTTGGGGTCAGGGGTTCAAGACCAGCCTGGTCGACATGGTGAAACCCCGTCTCTACTAAAAATAAAAAAAATTAGCCAGGCTTGGTGATGCATGCCTGTAATCCCAGCTACTCAGGAGGCTGAGGCGGGAGAATCGCTTGAACCCAGGGAGGTGGAGGTTGACAGAGTGAGACTCCGTCTAAAAAAAAAGAAAATTATTGACTATAGGCTGGGTGAGGTGGCTCGTGCCTGTAATCCCAGAACTTTGAGAGGCTGAGGTGGGTGGATCATTTGAGCCCAGGAGTTCGAGACCAGCCTAGGCAACATGATGAAATCCTGTCTATACAAAAAAATTTAAAAATTAGCTGAGTGTGGCGGTGCACACTTGTAGTCCCAGCTACTTGGGAACCAGACATGGGAGGATCTCCTGAGCCCAGAAGGTCAAGGTTGCAGTAAGCCAGCCTGGGCAATAAGAGTAAGACCCTGTCTCTAATAATAATAATAATAATAATAATAATAATAATAATAATAAATAAAATAAATAAATTATTAGACTATAGTCTCCCTGTTGTATTATCAAGTAGTAGATTATTCATTCTTTCTATTTTTTTGGGGCCCATTAACCATCCCCACCTCTCTCCCACTGCTTCACTACCCTTCCCAGACTCTGGAAACCATCCTTCTATTCTATATTTCCATGAGTTCAATTGTTTTGATTTTTATATCCCACAAATAAGTGAGAAAATACACTGTTTGCCTTTCTGTGCCTGGCTTATTTCACTTAACATAATGACTTTCAGTTCCATCCATGTTGTTGCAAATGACAGGATTTCATTCTTTTTTATGGCTGAATAGTACTGCACTGTGTATAGTACTACATTTTCTTTATTCATTCACCTGTGGATGGACACTTTAGGTTGTTTCCAAATCTTGGTTATTGTGAACAGTGTTGTAACAAACATGGGGGTGTAGATGCCTCTTTCACATATTGGTTTTCTTTCTTTTGGATATATACCTAGCAGTGGATTGTTGGATCATATGGTAGCTCTGTTTTTAGTTTTTTGGGGAATCTCCAAACTATTATCCATAGTGGCTGTACAATTAATAATTTACATGCCCACCAAGAGTGTATGAGGGTTCCCTTTTCTCCACATCCCTAGCATTTTTTATCACCTGCCTTTTGGATATAAGCCATTTTAACTGGGGTGAGGTGAAATCTCATTGTAGTTTTTATTTGCATTTCTCTGATGATAAATGACGTTGAGCATCTTTTCATATGCCTGCTTGCCATTTGTATGTCTTCTTTTGAGAAATGTCTATTCAAATCTTTTGCTTATTTTTTGATCAGATTATTAGATTTTTTTCATATAGAGTTGTTTGAGTTCCTTATATATTCTGATTATTAATCCCGTGTCAGATGGGTAGTTTGCAAATATTTTCTCCCACTCTGTGGATTGTCTCTTCACTTTGATTGTTTCCTTTGCTGTGCAGAAGCTTTTTAATTTGATGTGATCCCATTTGTTCATTTTTGCTTTGGTTGTCTGTGCTTGTAGGGTATTACTCAAGAAATGTTTGCCCAGACCAATGTTCTGGAGAGTTTCTTTAATGTTTTCTTGTAGTAGTTTCATAGTTCAAGGTCTTAGATTTAAGTCTTTAATCCATTTTTATTTCATTTTTGTATACGATGAGAGAGGGGTTTAATTTCTTTCCCTGCATATGGATATCCAGTTTTCCCAGCACCATTTATTGAAGAGACTGTCTTTTCCCCAGTGTGTAGTCTTGACACCTTCATTGAAAATGAGTTCACTATAAATGTATAGATTTGTTTCTGGGTTATCTTTCTGTTCCTTTGGTCTATGTGTCTGTTTTTATGCCAGTACTATGCTGTTTTGTTTACTATAGCTGTGTAACATAATTTGAAGTCAGGTAATGTGATTCCTCCAGTTTTGTTCTTTTTGCTTAGAATAGCTTTGAGTATCCTGGGTCTTTTGTGGTTCTATATAAATTTTAGGATTGTTTTTTCTATTTATGTGAAGACTGTTATTGGTATTTCCATAGAGATTGCATTGAATCTGTAGATTACTTTGGGTATTATGGACATTTTAACAATATTGATTCTTCCAATCCATGAACATGGAATATCTTTCCATTTTTTTGGTGTCCTTTTCAATTGCTTTCATCAGTGTTTTATAATTTTCATTAGAGAGATCTTTCACTTCTTTGGTTAATTCCTAGGTATTTAGTTTCATTTGTGGCCATTGCAAATGAGATTACTTTTTTATTTTGTTTTCAGATTGTTCACTGTTAGCATATAGAAATGCTACTGATTTTTGTATGTTGATTTTGTATACTGCAACTTTACTGAATTGTTAATCAGTTCTAATAGTTTTTTGGTAAAATCTTTAGGTTTTCCCAAATATAAGATTATATCATCTGCAAACAAGAATAATTTGACTTTGCTTTCCGCGCTACCTGCAGAGGGGTCCATACGGCGCTGTTCTGGATTCCCGTTGTAACTTAAAGGGAAACTTTCACAATGTCCGGAGCCCTTGATGTCCTGCAAATGAGGGAGGAGGATGTCCTTAAGTTCCTTGCAGCAGGAACCCACTTAGGTGGCACCAATCTTGACTTCCAGATGGAACAGTACATCTATGAAAGGAAAAGTGATGGCATCTATATCATAAATCTGAAGAGGACCTGGGAGAAGCTTCTGCTGGCAGCTCATGCTATTGTTGCCATTGAAAACCCTGCTGATGTCAGTGTTATATCCTCCAGGAATACTGGCCAGACGGCTGTGCTGAAGTTTGCTGCTGCCACTGGAGCCACTCCAATTGCTGGGCGCTTCACTCCTGGAACCTTCACTAACCAGATCCAGGCAGCCTTCCGGGAGCCACGGCTTCTTGTGGTTACTGACCCCAGGGCTGACCACCAGCCTCTCACGGAGGCATCTTATGTTAACCTACCTACCATTGCGCTGTGTAACACAGATTCTCCTCTGCGCTATGTGGACATTGCCATCCCATGCAACAACAAGGGAGCTTACTCAGTGGGTTTGATGTGGTGGATGCTGGCTCGGGAAGTTCTGTGCATGCTTGGCACCATTTCCTGTGAACACCCATGGGAGGTCATGCCTGATCTGTACTTCTACAGAGATCCTGAAGAGATTGAAAAAGAAGAGCAGGCTGCTGCTGAAAAGGCAGTGACCAAGGAGGAATTTCAGGGTGAATGGACTGCTCCAGCTCCTGAGTTCACTGCTATTCAGCCTGAGGTTGCAGACTGGTCTGAAGGTGTACAGGTGCCCTCTGTGCCTATTCAGCAATTCCCTACTGAAGACTGGAGCTCTCAGCCTGCCATGGAAGACTGGTCTGCAGCTCCCACTGCTCAGGCCACTGAATGGGTAGGAGCAACCACTGACTGGTCTTAAGCTGTTCTTGCATAGGCTCTTAAGCAGCATGGAAAAATGGTTGATGGAAAATAAGCATCAGTTTCTAAAAAAAAAAAAAGAATAATTTGACTTCTTCCTTTCCAATTTGGATGCTCGTTATTTCTTTCTCTTGTCTGATTACTCTAGCTATGACTCCCAGTACTACGTTGAATAACAGTGGTGACACTGAGCATCCTTGTCATGTTCCAGATATTAGAGGAAAGGCTTTCAGTTTTTCTCCATTCACTATGATACTAGCTGTGGGTTTATCATATATGGTTTTATTATGTTCAGATATGTTTCTTCTATACCCAGTTTTTTGAGGGTAAAATATATTGTAGAAATGAAGAAAATGAATGCCTTAGATGTTAAAGAATTTGAGTGCAAAGTGCTGTGGCCCTTGTATCAGATATAATCCTTTATTTTAGGAGCTTTATTCATTTAGTCAGTGATTATTATTTGTTTTTATATGCTATGCACTGTTTCAGGGGTTATAACCTTGAACAAGGCTCAATCTATGCTCTTTTTTTTTTAATCTTAAAGACAAGATCTTGCTCTGTCACCCGAGCTGGAGTGCAGTGATGTGATCACACCTCACTGCAACCTTGAACTCCTGGGTTCAAGGGATCTTCCCACCTCAGCCTCCTGAGTAGCTGGGACTACAGATGCATGCCACTGTGTCCAGCTAATTTTTTGTTTGTTTGTTTGTTTTGTTGCCCAGGCTGGTCTTGAACTCTTGGGCTCAATGGATCTTACTGCCTTGGCCACTTAAAGTGTTGGGATTAAAAGCATGAGCCACTGTGCTCGGCCCCACTCTGTGCTCTCAATTAGTTTGTAATTAGTGGGGAATTGAGATTTGCTTAAAAGGTAATTACAAGATTTTGATTACATGGTGATTAATGCCACATAATGATAAGATAGGGTGCAATGGAAGCATTATTCTAGTCTTGGGAGTGAAGAAATGCTTCTTAAATAAAGTGATTAAGTTAAGAAAATAAGAATAACATACATGAGTTATTTACTGAATAATACCAGCATGCTGTGGATAATGTTAAATTGGGAGGTAGGGACCATAAATACATTGTGTTCTAAGATGGGCTGATATAGCCAGAGAAGTCTTCAGAGACAAGATTTGATTTAAATTAGATCTTGCCCAATTGATGAATATAATTTTTATATGATTGTGATTAAAGACAGGGAGAGAACATCCCAGGTAGAAGTTTCAATACGTGTGAAAGGCTGGGTGCGGTGGCTCATGCCTGTAATCCTGGCACTTTAGGAGGCTGAGGCAGGTGGATCAACTGAGGTCAGGAGTTTGCACTTTGCATTAGGTGCTAGGGACCCAATAATGAATCAAATCTGGTCCCAGTACAGCAAATCATAGTTTATAGTATTATAAGGAGACCGGTCTAAATAAAGCAGAGGTTTAATCCTGGGGAGTAGTGGGAAATCTGAAGAGATAGAGTGGGGCCACCTGTATTTTGACTAATGTCTTGGGAGTTCAGATTTGAAGTCACTAACTTTTTTTATAGCAGAAGTACATTTCCTGGCTAATATGATAGAAGGATTGCAATAGGGGAAAGAGCAGCTCTTGTAGGCACAGGGAAGTGACAAAGCAGGCTAGAAAATAGGCTAATTTTTGTGTTCGTTCTCCCTCACCACTGCAAGTATACTGGCTTAGCAGGTCTGAGTTGCAAGTGCCTTCTGACTTGTCTCCCTAATTACAGCTTCTTGTCCACTCAAATCTAGTTGACGCACTGCTGCCACGGTATATTCATGAAACAACATCTAGATTCTCATCTGACTAAGAAATCTTCAATGAATCTCTTTTTATTAAACTAATAAGCATTTGTTGAGGGTCTTTCTCCATATCTATCTATCTATCTATCTATCTATCTATCTATCTATCTATAGATAAGTGGTAAGTTTTAGGAATCAAAGCAAAATAAAGTAACAGAAAATAACAAAGATGGTGCTTTTCTTGGATAAGGTTTTGAGGGTTACTTTTCCAAATAAGAAGAAACTTGAGTTAAGACTTGATTGGAGGGAGAGCTTTTGAGGCTTAATAGCAAGGGAAAAGGCCTTGAAGAAATGTGTTTGTTGAGTTCAAGGAGTGAGAGTTGGTGGATGTGGCTGGAGCACAGTGAGGAAGGGGGAGAGTGAGGGAAGGTGAGCTTGAGGTGGGTGAGTGGGTGGTGCCCCCCACCTTGAGTCAAGTTGTGCTTTGTAGTTCATCCTAAGGACTTTGGATTTTGTTCTGATGATAAAAGAAGTTGTCGGAGGGCTTTGAACAAAAGAGTATCATGATCTTATTTAGATTTGAAAAGGATTGATGGCTGTTGGCTGGAGATAGGCTCTAGAGGGGCAAAGATGAAAACAGTGAGATCAGCTGAGGAAGTAACAGAAATGAAGTTGAGAGATGCTGGTGGTTTGGACAAGAGTGGTAGTGATGAGGGTGTAGAGAATGATTGGACCCTTGGTTACAACTTGTAGCTACGATTAATAGGATTTGCTGAATGAAAATAGAAGAGTGAAAAATGACTTCAATTATTTTGACCTGAACAACTGGAGTAATGAAATTGCTATTGACAGGGAGGGGTAAGGTAGCCAGAGTAAGTGGCCTGGAATGTGATTAGAATCATGTTTTTGAACATATCTCTTGCATGCTTATTAGCTGTCTGAGTAGAGGTGTTGAGATATAAACAATTGGATATATGCTTATTGAATTCAGGAAGTGTCTGTGCTGGAGATACACACTTGGGATTTGTATATAGATAATATAGATAATATTTGAAGCCACAGGCCTAGATGAGACCACCAAGGAATAAGAATAGGTAGAGAAGGACAAACTGTGGTGCTCCAATGGTCAGAAGTGAGATGATAAGGAGGAATCAGCCAAGGAGACTGAGAAGAGTTATCCATGAGGGAGAAGGGATCTCTGGAAGCTGAGTGAAGAAAAGATTTCAAGGAGAAGAGAATAATCAACTGTGTTGAGTAACTGACATTTGAATTTTGCCATTGGACAGGGGGGAAGTTGATAAGCACAGTTTTTCACATTGTGTTGGTGAAGTGGTTACAGCCTGAATGGAGATTTTTCAAGACAGAAAAAAAGTAAGGAAGTACAGGCAGTGAGTTACAACAGTCCTTTAGTTTAGAAAAACTTTGCTGTCATGAGAAAGTAAAATAGGGAGGTAGCTTAAAGGGATGATGTGGTACAGGGAGGTTTGTTTTTAATGAGCTAGGTAGGGCAAATTTCATGATAATAGGAATAATGATGGATAACACAGGAGAGAGGGGACATTTGCTGAAGCAGTGTCATTAGTGTCCTTGAGAAGGTGAGAAAGCCTGGGACCCAGTGTCTGGTGAAGGGGCTAGCCATAGATAGGAGTATGGAAAGTTCCTCCATCATAGAAAGTGTGGGCAGAGTACATGGGGACATTGGAGAGAAGTTTGTTGATGTAGTCTTGGGACTCTTTGGAAATTCTTTTCTGATTGCCTCTATTTTCTCAGCAAAACAATAAGACTCTCAGCAGCTAGAAGGAGAGTAACAAAGGTGTTGGAAGTTTGAAGAGCAAGAATAAAGTAAAAAACAGACTTTTTTTTTTTTTAGATGGAATTTCACTCTGTTGCCCAGGTTGGAGTACAATGGTGTGCCAACTCACTGTGACCTCTGCCTCCCAGGTTCAAGTGATTCTCCTGCCTCAGCCTCCCAAATAGCTGGGATTACAGGCACCTGCCACCACACTTGTCTAATTTTTGTATTTTTGATAGAGACAGGGTCTCACCACATTGGCCAGGCTGGTCTCGAACTCTTGACCTCAGGTGATCTACCTGCCTCAGCCTCCCAAAGTGCTAGGATTACAGGCATGAACCACTGTGCCTGGCCTAAAATAGACAGAAGAGAATGTGATGATGAAGAAAATCTTCAAGAATTGCCATTTATATTATTTGTTATGGTATTCACAGCTTTTCAAAAAATTTCTCCTAGTTCTCTCAACTCATCTATTCTCCACTCCCAGTCATTCCCAATGCACATTTCTGTTTTAGCATCATGATAATGGATGCAATATAGCAGAACGCCTAGGGGCATCAGGCTGCAGTGAGCCATGATTGTGCCAATACACGCCAGCCTGGGTGACAGGGTCAGACTCTGTACTCAAAATAATAATAATAATAATAATAATAATAATAATAATAATAATAGTAATAAATAGAATGCTTAGGAGTGGGAACTTTGGTGGTGTCCAACTTTTGGAATTTGAATCTTGGTTTCACCACTGTCTTTCTTCTGGCTTTGGTTTCTTTATCTGCAAATGAAGAAATAAACAATCCTTACTTCTTGTGGTTGTCATAAAGATTATAGAAGATAATGCATATCAAGCATCTGACACATGGTAAACACTCAGGAAATATTAGTCAGGGTTAATTTTACTACTACCATCATCTCTATTCTGTGAGGATGTGTGTCTTAAGGGAAAGGACTATTTTACTCAGCCTGTGATCCTCATGATACCTTGTATAGAGTTGGTATTTAACAACTATCTAGTGGAATGCAATCCACATTTAAACAATACTCAGTGCATTGCAATTGGCCCTCAGGTTTTCTGAAAATCTGACTATTATAATCAGCATGTTCTCTTTGAAGGTATTGTCGGTTGTCAAGTTGAGTGTTTGAATGCCCCACTGCCCTAAAAAGAAATTCATGATGATATTTCTCAAAAAACATATTCTACACATGCAAATGTTGCCTTATTTTTTGAACATCCACTTCTTAGATTGGATCCTACTGTGCTGTGGTCTTCCCTGGGAGCCTGATTTTTATGAAGCTGGTAGGGGGCTGGGTGCATAAAGAGATTCACAGCTGAGGAAATCAGACAACTGAAGCTCTGAACAGCCTCAGTGAGAAAACAGCATTCCTGTTTCCTCTGTGCCACAGTCTTGTCACCTGCTTTTCCATACAGTGGTGAAACAGAGGTAGAAAATTGATTTGGCAAGTCACTTCTATTATAATCTTAGTGTAGCAGGACGAGCCTCAGACAAAACCCCTCAGACACCGAGTTAAAGAAGGAAGGGCTTTATTCGGCCAGGAGCATCAGCAAGACTCATGTCTCAAAAACCGAGCTTCCCAAGTAAGCAATTCCTGTCCCTTTTAAGGACTCACAACTCTAAGGGGGTCTGCATGAGAGGGTCGTGATTGATTGAGCAAGCAGGGGGTATGTGACTGGGGGCTGCAAGCACCGGTAATTAGAACAGAACAGAACAGAACAGGACAGGGATTTTCACAGTGCTTTTCTATACAATGTCTGTAATCTATAGATAACACAACCGATTAGGTCAGGGGTCAATCTTTAACTACCAGGCCCAGGGTGTGGCGCTGGGCTGTCTGCCTTTGGATATCAGTTCTGCCTTTTAGTTTTTACTTCTTCTTTCTTTGGAGGCAGAAATTGGTCATAAGACAATATGAGGGGTGGTCTCCTCCTTTATTCCCCCTTTTGAGAACTTCACTCATTAGTGGGAGTTCTCACTTTCATTCTAACTACCCATGTCTTCTTGCAAGACAGATCAATAGTGATTCATATAGTACACTTGTGCTGAAGCATTTTGATGAACTAAGGTAGCGATGAAGCTTTTTATCATTTGAAGAAGTAGAGGTAGCAAACAAGGGAGCAGTAAGCAGGTTTCTATTACTATTACAACTCCTATTTGAAGAGTTTTAAATCTTCTTAGTGCTGGGAACCATTTTCTAAACATGGCCCCAGGATCAAATCCATGCCACACTTGCACGGGCACATGTGCTAGTTTTGTCATATTTCTAACTATGTCTTCAACTACTTGCCCTTGATCATCTACGTGTAGACAGCAATTAGTAAGGTTAAATTTCCTACAGATCCCTCCTTCAGCTGCTAGCAAGTAGTCGAGAGCCAATCTATTTTCATAGATAGCATTTCTCATATGAGTTTCTTGCTGGGCCAGAATAGTCAAGGCTCTGCCAGTCTTATTAGTGACTATTTTTAAGACAGCTTGTAACCATATGATTTGGTTGAGCATGTAAATGGGGGTCTGGTATCCCCATGAGTCATCTTGTGCCCAAGTGCCAGGCACATAATATTGTATGATTCTCTCAGGGGGCTGTTCATCTTCTTTTTAATTTTCTATAGCTATGCTTCTCTTTTTGCAGAAAGCATAGACAGGGAAGCCCAGGAGTTCACCTGTCTTTATGGGCAGTAGGAAGAAAGATAGTTTAATAGTGCCAATAACACAACTACCTGCCCACTGGTCGGGTAATTTGGTGTAAGCTCTATGCCCACATATTCAGTATAATCAAGTGGGGGCTGTCCAGTCCCAGTGGGACTCCAGGTGGGTCCACACGGTTTGCAACTTTGGGAATTTACTAAATGGATTTTTCTTAGTGTGGTTTGAACTCCACTAGGTGGCTGTTTTTGTAGTACTATTATACAGTTTTTGCCCAAGGCAGCTGAGTCTTCCCACAGGAAGGGTGAAGTCCTTCCCCACTCTTGCTATACAGTATTGTCTAATGACTGAGGCTTTTAGGACCCAGAAGTTATCAGGGTGATTCTTTTGAGCTGGGAATTCATCAGGAACTGGGTCTGTAGGTACTAATTCTCAGGCTTCCCATGGCCATTGATCTCCCATTACAGTTCCTCCACATACATAACATGAAGTGACATTGAGAGACTGGGCTACATGCTTGGTTAATTGCAAAAACAAATTTCTTGTTTTTCCTGGAATTTCTGGTACTGGCACATTTAGTTCATCATAGAAGGTTTGAAATACTGGCTCAGGAGAGCGTTTATAAACTTCTCCTCAAACCACGATATTTACTTGAGGATCCAGTCCAGCCCCATCGATTCCTAGGGTTACATGCTCCCCTTATTTCCAGCGAGGATCAAGGGAGTTGGTTATTACTAGTTCTAAGGGGTTACACAGACCACTGGTACACGAAGGGTCACTTTTCCCTTTCTGAAGATGGACAGGATTCCTTTCATTTTTTTATCCAAGTAGCCTAAATGACACAAGACCAGTATCCACATTCATTTCCACACAGTCTTAATTCATGACAAATGTACTTATTTTCTGTCATATAGCCTCTTTCCTAATTAAGAGAACCACATCCTATTCCTAACTTATTACTATTAATGACAGCACAGGCATCAAATTTCAAGGTGACTTGTTTGGGCACTCCTTTTTCTTCTGTTTTGGCTAACACTTTACTCATATCATTTATGAGCCCTCACTAGTCCTCAGTCCTTAATCTTATTTTAAAAACTATGGTCATGGGAGGCTCAGATGGGTCATAACACACATCAGCTTGGGGGCTACATACCTTGTATAGAATAGCATTATACAAACAAGTTCTTTTTAGAGTCCCAGTACACTTATGATAACCATAAAATAATAGGACTGTAGCAACTTTTTGTCCTACCTCAGTGACTTGATGTATACACTGGGAATAGTAATCAGTCTGAGGAAGGTCAGTTGAAGTCCTTACTGTACGAGTCCAAATTTTAAGGAAAATGAGTCCCACAATGAGTTTTCTCATGCTTCGGGCACATGTGGACCAGTCAGCTTCCAGGTGTGACTGGAGTAGGGCTTCTCATCTTCTTCAGAGTCACTTTGCAGGGGTTGGTGAAGCTGCTCCCATCCACGTACAGCTCACAGCCTACTGATGTTCAAGGATGGTCTCAGAGTTTGGGCCCACTAGAATAAACTGAGTCCAATACCTTTACACACTTACGTTCAACTGGGCTCTCTGATACTGGGAGCAAGGTGGTGGGGTTTAGGTTGTTGCAAACTTCAATGGTTATGTGGGGATTTTTACATAGCAAGCTTTGGTACTTGGTTAATCTAGCATTTGTTAGCCTATGATGCCCTTTGGTATTCATCAAAGTTACCACAGCATGGGGGGGCCTTTATATTCAGGTTTTGCCCAAGGGTTAGTTTATCTGCTCCTTGTGCTAACAGGGCCATTGCTGCCAGGGCCCTTAGACATGGGGGCCAGCCTTTGGAAACCCCGTCTAGTTGTTTTGAGAGATAGGCCACTGGCCTTGGCCAGGGCCCTACAGTCTGGGTTAAAACTCCAATTGCCATTTTTTCTCTTTCTGACACATAGAGTGTAAAGAGTTTTGTCAGGTCAGGTAGCCCCAGGGCTGGGGCTGACATGAGTTTTTCTTTTAACTCATGAAAAGCTTGTCACTGTTGGTTGTAATAGATGTAGTTTATCCAATCTACATTTTCATTAACTGTCACCCACCAAAATATTGACTCAAATCCTGCAGCTATTTGATTTCAAGCTTTAAATTGATCTGGTATTCCCCGAGGGACTCTCATGTCTAAATAGACGTGAGAGTTGAAAGACCCATAAAGGTCTTCTCTTGCTTTACGATGTCTTATTTTTCCTCCCTCTGGTTGATGAAATGCCAGGGTGAAAGTGATAGCCAATTGGACTAAAGTACAATTGCCACTCCAGTTATTCAGCAGAGTGCCCAGTAAAGGTCCACCGCAATACCACCATACATCTGCTCAGGGATGAACAAGGGCTGACTGATTGATAAGCTCTTGAAAATTCTTAAGCTTACTGCATCCCTTCAGGTCTCCAAGGAACGCTACGTTTCCTCCCTGTCATGAGAGACAGGAAGTGAACTTAGTGTTGGGAGACAGAGTCTGGATGGTCCTCCTGGGCTGACCTGCAGGGTGCCGTACTTTGGGATATAGTAGAGAGAGCTTGGCACGACTTATTACTCCAGGCTGTAGAATCCTGGAAAAGAGCTACCATGCAGCCCACACCTGGTCAACTGGAGGACCACCTTAGTGGAAAGGGGACAATGTGGGCCTCTGGCCTACCATGTGCACAAGCATAACAATTCCTTTTGTTTAATGTGCAGATGGAATATTTGATCCATTCCAAGCAGGCATTTGCATCTTGGTATCCTGTCTTAATTGCCAAAGTTTGTTTTAAGTCTTTAACTTCTATGATCCTCTAGTAAAATGAATGTATGATTTTAGGAAATTATAAAAACTGTTTGGGTAGTCCATCCTTGCTCTTTAGTGGTCCACAGAATGTTGGACCAACTATGGCATAAAAGCTCTACACTGGGGAACAAGACTCCTGGTTGACACGGGAGCCTTTATCGAAATTTCCCTGGATTAAATGGTCCTAATTTACTAATGCCCAGTCTGAGGAGAGTCAGGAGGGACAGAGGTACTTTTCTGAAGTAGAGAGCTGTCTTTGACTTGGCAAGTCCCCACAGGGTATAACAAGTCAAGCATTAAATGCAATAGTTTGAGGCGAAATTGACTTGGTTATGTTAATAACTAGAAGGTCAGCAAAAGAGCAGGAAAGAAGAAAGAGTAATAGAATACATGAAAGAATTAAATTTTTCTTAGCTTTAGTTTGGTAGGGTTTTCCCCTGGGACTATAGCACACGACTCTGGAGGGGATGGTGCTTTCTTGACTTGGTTGTGATGAGTCCATCCTTTTTTTTCTGTATGAACAGCAATCTTGATGGTTAGCAGCACAAGGTAGGGTCCTTCCTAGGCTGGCTCGATTTTCCTTTCTTTTCACCCTTTGATGAGAATGTGATCTTCATGCTGGTGGTGGTTTACTGGAAATTCTAGGGGGGGGTACACTTGCTAAAAGACTTTTAGTTTTGAGGGAAAGGAAAGTGGAAGATAAACCAAGTACATAATTTCTAAGAAATTGAGCTTTTGTTTTAAATGTGGGGACACCAGCAGTGAATTTTATAGTCCTTGGTGCCTTTCTACTGAGTAATTTCCTTTAGCACCTATTTTTATTAGTTTTTGGACCAAAGAAGCCAATCAGCATTTTATATTTGACAATGCTTCCGGTATGATTTTTATACCAGATAAGCTAAATTTCACCTTTATATTAGTGTGTTATAATGTTAAACTTAGTTTTAATAAAACTTTATATACATATTTATTCAATTTTTAATGTCAGACCATAAGGTAAGATTTTTATAGACTCTTTTTAACCTTTTATAATCTTTGTTAAAGAGCAGGTTAGTGCTTTAAGAAAAACCTGTCATGTTTTTACTTTAATGTCCAGTTCACAGAAAAACTGTGTGATACCCCTTTAACTTTAGCTAATATGTTTACACACAGAATTTACACACAATTAATGTTTTAAAACCTGATTAAACTTTTAAAACAAAATTTTAACATATTAATGTAGGTAAAAAATAGTTTTACATTCAGGAGGCCCAATTACTTTTAAATTATACAACATTTCTTGTATAAATTCTTTTTTTAACACACTTTTTTTAAATGATTTTTTCTCTTTCATGACTTTTACAGACAATTCTTTGACATGCCTTAACTTTCTGACTTATTACAAACATTTCTTTCTTTAAACAACCAGTTAATTTATTTCAGGACAAGAATTTACTATATAACATTCTTTTTACATAAATTCTGCCCCCCCTTTTTTCCCCCTTTTTTTTTTTTTCAAAGATAATCATTCTTTTCCAAAGTGAACTTCCTTTATGTCTGTGGACCAGACTATCTAACGCCACAAGATTAGAAGTTACTATAATACATGTTACATGGTTAACTTTTAGCAAACTTTACTTTTGTTGAAAACCTTGTAAGTTTGGGATTTCAATTATCCTTTGCTATTAATAAGACCTTGTTTAGTCCAAATTAACTTAGAATTGGTACAGATGGCTTTTTTTTTCCTTTAATTACCTGGGAGGAACCATCTATGGTCCTATCCTGAAGGGAGTTCCTCCTAGGTCTGGTTGGACCTTTGTATGGTAATTAAGATTTAGATCCCCTGTTAGGAAACCTGCTGGGTTAAGGCAATTTTCAGTGGTTAATGTTAAACCATCTTTTTTTTTTTTTTTTTTTTTTTTTTTTTTTTAGGATACTTCTGAACTGGTGAGGTGTGCTTACAATGAGGTTCCTCTAAAAGTTATTTTTTTACTTTCTTCTGTTAGCAAAGCAGTTGCTGCTACAGATTGAATGCATTTGGGCCATCTGTGGGTTACTGGGTTAAGGATTGTTGATAGGAAGGCCTCAGTGCTTTCAGGATATGCCCTGGTTTACACTGACAACAAAGTGGTATTGGAGTGTTATAGGGTTACAGCAAACACCTTTAATTATCAATTATAGGTTTTAAATTTACCTTGGCTTTTAAAGGAATAGGGTACACTTTTTTTTCCTTAACTACTTGTGTCTTTCTGTCTTTCTTTCTTTTCTCTTCTTTCTTTCTTTCTTTTTCTTTCTTTCTTTCTTTCTTTCTCTTTCTTTCTCTTTCTTTTGTTCTTTCTCTCTTTTTGACTTTCCTTTTGCCTCTGTCTCTTCCTCTCTCTCTGCCTCTCTCTCTCTTTCTCTCTTTTCTTGACTCCCTCTTTGTTTCTCTGTCTCTTCCTCTCTCTCTCTTTGCTGGTCTTTCCTTGCCTCTGCTAGCCGCTTATGCTGCTGTTCTCTCAGCCACTGTGGCGGGGCGGTCTAAAACCAGCTGTAACCAAGTGTCTATGTACGGGAACTGGTCTGGGTGCCCTGGCTTACAGGTTACCTTGTGCCATACCTTTGAAACAAGGGACCTATCCAGGCTTCCTTCTGATGGCCAACCCACCTGTAATGCTGGCTAGTCTATCTTACACAAAGTTTTAAGTTTTCCTGGTGTCATAGTACTCCATAGTCTCCCTTAAATCTTTTCTTGAAATTTTTCAACATAGTTCCTAGTGGGGTGGGCTTACTTTGTGCCTGACCCATGCTTCCTTGAGGCAAAACACCAAGTTCACACCACACGCACACCACAAAACAAAGAATGGGTAAAAAGGGTACACACACACTTTTACAGTTTACACCAAACCAGAATCAAAACCAAAATCAGAGTATCAAGCAATCCAAGCCAGGTCAAAACCAAAACCAAAGTATCAAGCAATCCAAGTCAAGTCAAAAACAAAAACCAAAGTGCTGGTACAGGCATGCCGTGGGTTATCAGGCCACGCTTCCACTCCAAAGGAGTGTGCAAGTTCCAAAGACTAGTCTTACCAAGTTTCAGATGTCCGGACACCAAGTGCCAGTTCCTTCCTGGTGTTCAGCCACTGTGTTGATCCTCTGCAGGGGCCTGCCATGCACCACTCTGACTAGGTGTTCCACTGGGGCAATTGCCTACCTGGGAGCGCTCTCAGGATCCACGTCACTCAAGCTGGCTGGGGTCCCCTGCAGGGATGCTCCACAGGGCAGGCCTAAGCCGCCTAAGGGGTTGCCTTGACCTTCTGTTAATCACCTCGCTTCCCAGTCAGGGAACCAAGAAATGTAGCAGGACGAGCCACAGACAAAACCCCTCAGTCACCGAGTTAAAGAAGGAAGGGCTTTATTTGGCCAGGAGCATCGGCAAGACTCACATCTCAAAAACAGAGCTCCCCGAGTGAGCAATTCCTGTCCCTTTTAAGGACTCACAACTCTAAGGGGGTCTGCATGAGAGGGTTGTGATTGATTGAGCAAGCAGGGGGTATGTGACTGGGGGCTGCATGCACCGGTAATTAGAACGGAACATAACAGGACAGGGATTTTCACAGTGCTTTTCTACACAATGTCTGTAATCTATAGATAACATAACCGATTAGGTCAGGGGTCAATCTTTAACTACCAGGCCCAGGGTGTGGCGCAGGGCTGTCTGACTGTGGATTTCATTTCTGCCTTTTAGTTTTTACTTCTTCTTTCTTTGGAGGCAGAAATTGGGCATAAGAAAATATGAGGGGTGGTCTCCTCCCTTAGTAGAAAGGCCTCATAAACTGGGCATTTGCTAAGGAGAACTGCTTTAAAAAGGGTACGGTCATTCAATGCCTGCCTGGGACAAATGGCCCTTTGGTACTGGCTGTAGAAATCATCTAGATGGTGCAGACTGTGCTCTGGAAGAGCATTTTATTGCAGGGACACTGCAAGAATTGACTGTCTTATTAAGAAGCACTGTTATAATAAAATGTGATTTAATTACCAAGCAGGGGTCAAGAAAGGATTGGGGGAGGGATTTAATCATGAAAATACTGGCCCAGATAAATTAATTCTAAGGGTGTTTGTAATAATTAGGCACATATATTTGAATAATAATCACACCCCCAAATTATGTGAAAAGTATACCCCTTTCAATTGCATAAAGTAGTTTACGTGCCCATTATCAACTGAGCCAAGGAATGTGTAATGATATGAAACCTAAGATCTTCATGAAATACTTCCATAAAAAATAACAGACAGCTTTCCCTTTACTTATATTTACTTGCCAATTTCAAAGGAATCAAATTCCATTAAATTATATAAATAAACTGTCCTGAAGGCACTTGCTTCTACTGTTTCAGGAAGCTACCCTATATTTAGAAAATTTCTGTGGCTCCCGATAAATGTATTTCCTTTAGAAAAGCAATTCTCATAACTTAAGTGGATAGAGTAGTCACTGTTTTTAATGAAACTAAGGAATTTGTGATGTCATCTTGTGTGTGCCAGTCCTTCAATTAAGAGGGGAGGACCCGAAAATGCAAAACCCTATGGTTATACCATGCACTTTAAAAGAAATGTATCAAAAGCTCATTATGCATGGTCACAGTTTGCAGCAAAATACAATCCTTTAGAAAGTGAAAGGGACTGCTCTTTTATGTAACTTGGCTCTGGAAGCCTGCGGTGACAAACCACACACATCAACAGCCCCCACTTTGAGCAAACGTGGAAAACCACTTGTTAGCTCCGCCCCTCTAAGTACTCCTCCCTGCGGCTCCATTTTGTTTTTAAACTATTTTATTTTTGGTAAAAGTTAAGTTTACTAAGCTCTAAAATACATGAAATCTCCTGCTGTCTATTCTAACACTGGAAGCTGCTCCAGGATAAAAATTGGTGCATCCCATGTAATAAGGAGGAGGAATGTTATTTTATTAACAGTTGGCACCAGAATTCCTTCAGAAAGGGAAATGTAATTACTCTGAAAAATACCCTGATAAGAGCTTCTAAAGTAGAAGAGATCCCAGGAGGGGCCAGGGTGTGGGCGGAATGTTTCTGAGACAAAGGGAGCAATTTGGCTGTAACTTGCAAGGGCGTCCAGAGGGCCTGGGAGGGGAGGAGCATTGGAGCCAATCAGAGAACATCTTCTCAACGTGACTCTTCCTCTCCATCCTCCCGCACAAGCCTTTGCTAAAATGACTGAGCTGGCTAAGTACTTGATGCAACTAATTTTTTATTTTACTTTATTTTATTTTTTGGTAGAAGCGTGGGTAAGGGTTGGGCTTGTGTCTAGATCAATTGAGTATATCAAGGTTAACATGTATGGACCTAAGACTGGAGGCAAACAGACTCTAAAAATAAACTTGTAGGATTTTTTTTTTTAGAAATTATGGGGAGGCCTCTAGGTGCTCACGGGGACATGTTTTTTGATGTAGTCTTTGGAAGCTCTTTTCTGATTGCCTCTATTTATTTTCTCAGCAAAACAATAAGACTCTCAGCAGCTAGAAGAATAACAAATATGTTGGAAGTTTGAAGAGCAAGAATAAAGTATGAAATAGATATTTTACCAAAAATGCCTTTTACCAAAAGACTTTTGCCAAAAATAAAATAGTTTAGATTTTATTGATATCTTTTAATGAAATCTTTGTGGGAGCTAGAGGGCCTCTGATGGAATCTTGGGTAAACCAGCTAGTTTATGGGCAGAATCACTGCTGTCATGGGTGGGAAGCTACTGTGGATAGTCTTAAGCTGCTTCATGGATGGTTACTTGGAAACAGGACTCTATAAATACAAGATATCATGGTTGCTTTTCCAGTCATTGAACTGGCCAGACTTCAACATAATGTTTTTTAAATTATTAATTTATTATTATTATTCTTTAGAGACAGGGTCTTGCTGTGTTGCCCAGGCTGAAGTGGAGTGGTACGATCATAGCTCAGTGTAATTTCAACCTCAAGGGCTTAAGTGATCCTCCTGCTTCAGCCTCTGAAGTAGCTGGGACCACAGGGTCCACCACCATGTCTGGCTAATGTGAATTTAAGAGGCTAATTGACGGAAAAAAATGATTCTTTAGTAGACTAACAAAGAATTTTGAGATCCTAACCTTACATTTCAACACTAGTTTTTCAAAATTAATTCAAAGTCCCTGAGAATGAAGGATAAATTAAGGGTCAAAATGGTATCTAATATTCCCCAAATGATTCTTCATTAGCCAAGGTTGCTAGAGTGCAAATGAAGGTGAGTCAGCATATTGAACACTTTGCACACGATCATCATATCTATTCTAGGATCAAACCTAGAGGACCACAGTTGAAGCCAATGGACAAAGGGTAGAAATATATTTGATCATGGTTTACAGTGTGTCTTAGGGGTTTCTGGGTACAAAAATAATGGGATATCACCCAAGGCAGGGGTCCACAAACCCCAGGGCATGGTCTGTGGCCTCCTAGGAACTGGGCCGCACAGCAGGAGGTGAGCGGAGAGTGAGGGAGCGTTACTGCCTGAGCTCCGCCTCCTGTCAGATCAGCAGCGGCATTAGATTCTCATAGGAGCCTGAACCCTATTGTGAACTGCGCATGTGAGGGATCTAGATTTCACACTCCTTTTGAGAATCTAACGAATGCCTGATGATCGGAGGTGGAGCAGTTTCATCCCAAAACCATCTCCATCCCCCACTGTCTGTGGAAAAATTGTCTTCCACGAAACCGGGCTCTGGTGCCAAAAAGGCTGGGGACCACTGACCTAAGGAAATGATTCAATATATGTTAGATATTTCCTCCAACTGGAATTTTCTGACCCAAAGTTTCAGATTGCATCTCCCCCTCAAGAGATACTGTCCTTGATCACGCCTTATAAAGTTTTCCCCTGCATGTCACCCTTTGGATTTCTTTCACAACACTTATTATCATCTGAAGTGATCTTGAATATTTTTATTTTTTACTTGTTTGTGGTCTGCCTGCCAACCATTGTGATATGAAGACCAAGAAAACAGGAACCCAGTGTGCCTTATTCATCTCTGTTTCTCAAGCTGTAGGATGCCTGGCACATAATCAGAGCACAATAAGTATTTATTGAATCATTGAATGCATTTCATTCAGCATCTAAGCTGCAGAGATTATCAAAATCCTCATAGGCCACTACAAATATAATGTAGTTACTTTTATAAAGGAAACACGTACTGAGGGATTCTAAGGCTGGTGTTTTGAACTAATTCCTTTTTATTATCAGCCTAATCTTGGATCATGTAAATGATGATCACATTATACCTGTCAGAATACTTTGCAAGAAAAAAATTCACTATTATAGTCTCTCTACACCAAAGTGAATCTAGAGATTCAATTAAACGATAGAATAGTAGAGTTCAGTTTTGATATGGAGAAATGTTTTGATGTTGTATTTTAGTTTGGGTTAATAGCATTATTAGGTTGCATGCTAGGGTAATTAAAAGCATGAGTTCACTTTTGTTTTTAAGAGATGAAGTCTTGCTATGTTGCCCAGGCTGAAGTGCAGTGGCTATTCACAGGCAAAATTATAGTGCACTGCAGCCTCAAACTCCTAGGCTGAAGTGATCTTCCTGTCTCAGCCTTCTAAGTAGCTGGGACTACAGGCTTATGCCACCACACCCAGTTCAACACATTTTTTTTTTTTTTTAATTTAAGAAAAAAATTATGTGGCGGAAGCTAGATAGTAATACCTGTTTACAAGATTTGACAAGATTTAATACTACTTTTGTTTTAAAATTTATTTATTTATTTTTTGTGACGGAGTCTCACTCTGTCACCCAGGCTGGAGTGCAGTGGTGCAATCTCAGCTCACTGCACCCTCCACTTCCTGGGTTCAAGGGATTCTCCTGCCTCAGCCTCCTGAGTAGCTGGAATTACAGGCATGTGCCACCACGCCTGGGCTAATTTTTGTATTTTTAGTAGAGGCGGGGTTTCACCATGTTGGCCAGGCTGGTCTTGAACCCCTGACCTCAAGTGATCTGCCCTCCTTGGCCTCCCAAAGTGCTAGGATTACAGGCGTGAGCCACTGTGCCTGGCCTTAAAATTTATTTGAAAGCATAATTATGAATGGGGAATATATTAATAAATGTGTTCAGGCCGGGTACAGTGGCTCATGCCTGTAACCCCAGCACTTTGGGAGGCTGAGGTGGGAGGATTACCTGAGGTCAGGAGTTCGAGACCAGCCTGGCCAACAGGGTGAAACCCCGTGTCTACTAAAAATACAAAAATTAGCTGGGCAAGGTGTTGTGCGTGTAATCCCAGCTACCTGGGGAAGCTGAGGCAGGAGAATCGCTGGAACCTGGGAGGCAGAGGCTGCAGTGAGCCGAGATCGTGCTGTTGCACTCCAGCCTGGGCGACACGCAAGACTCCCTCTCAAAAAACAAACACACACAAAAATGGTGTTCAAAATGAGAACAAATAACACAAATTTCTTTAGCATCGTATTATGGATAGTTAGGAGAAGTTATTTCAGAACTAATTTAAATGCATTGTTTTGGGAGAATGGAACTTTTTTTCTACTTCATACCATATTGCTTCCATTTTTTTTTTGTTTGATATTACTTGTCTGTTTTTGTTTGTTTTTGTTTTTGTTTTTTTCAGACAGAGTCTTGGTCTGTCACTCAGGCTGGAGGGCAGTGGCGCGACCTCAGCTCATTGTATCCTCCACCTCCCGGGTTCAAGCAATTCTCTTGCCTCAGCCTCCTGAGTAGCTGGGATTACAGACGTGCACCGCCATGCCTGGCTAATTTTTATTTTTATTTTTTGAGACGCAATCTGCTCTGCCGCCCAGGCTGGAGTGTAGTGGTGCGATCCTGATGCACTGCAACCTCCATCTTCTGGGTTCAAGTGATTCTCCTGCCTCAGCCTCCCAAGTAGCTGGGACTACAGACACGTGCCACCACGCCCAGCTAATTTTTTTTAATATTTTTGGTGGAGATGGCATTTCACCATGTTGGCCAGGATGGTCTCAATCTCCTGACTTCGTGACCCGCCCACCTCAGCCTCCCAAAGTGCTGGGATTACAGGTGTGAGCCACCATGCCCGGCTAAGTTTTTTAATTTTAGTAGAGATGAGTTTTCGCCATGTTGGCCAGGCTGGTCTCAAGCTCCTGGCCTCATGTGATCTGCCTGCCTTGGCCTCCTAAAATGCTGGGATTACAGGTGTGAGCCACCGTGCCTGGTCGCTTGTCTGTTATATGTTGTCAAGAGGCCTTGTTTTATAACAAAACTAGACTTGTTAGATATAAAATTATTAATTTTCTTCTAGGTATATTATTTTCTCCATTCTCATATGAGAAAAATTAATTAAAAAAGTACTTTTGTTAGTACTCTTGTACTGCTGAATGAAACTGAGTGCATAAAAGAAAGTTACAAAATTATTTTAAAATTTCATTTCTGGAATTGGTGTGTGCATATTTATTATGGGTGGAATAAAGGAAAAAGTATTTTCAGATGTTTACTTATACACAAATTTTTTTTTCTTCAAAAAATAACAGTAGGCAAGATGCGGTGGCTCACGTCTGTAATCCTTGCACTTTGGGAGGCCGAGGCAGGTGGATTGCCTGAGCTCTGGATTTCAAGACCAACCTGGGCAATACGGTGAAACCTCATCTCTACCAAAATACAAAAAATTAGCCAGGCATGGCGGCATCTGGCTGTAATCCCAGCTACTCAGTAGGCTGAGATAGGAGAATCTCTTGAACCTGGGAGGCAGAAGTTGCAGTGAGCCAAAATAGCACCACTGCACTCCAGCCTCAAAGTGCAGAGTCCATCTCAACAAAACAAAACAATAAGTATGTTAGTTATTTCTACATAACAAATTATTGCAAAATTTTGTGGCTGAAAATAATGAGCATTTACTATTAGTAACAATAATAAACAATTATATTATTATAGATAAATAAAGATAATTTATTATTTCTATAAGGAATCAGGGAGCAGCTTAGCTGGATAGTTTTGGCCTGAGGCATATTTCATAAGACTCCAGTCAAAATGTTGACCCCTGCTGCAGTCATCTGAAGGCTTGACTGGGGCTGAGGGATCTGCTTCCAAGATGATGCACTCACATAGGTGGCAAATTAGTGCTGGTTGTTGACAAGAGACCTCAGTTCTTCATCATATGAACCTCTCCATAAGACTGCTGGAGTGTCTTTACAACACGGTGGTTGTAAGACTTCCCCAGAGCACTGGGCGCGGTGTCTCAAGCCTGTAGTCCCACCCACTCGGGAGGCTGAGGCCAGAGAATGGCGTGAACCCGGGAGGCAGAGCTTACAGTGAACCGAGATTGTGCCACTGCACTCCAGCCTGGGCAACAGAGCGAGACTCCGTCTCAAAAAAAAAAAAAAAAAAAGAAAGACTTCCCCCAGAGCAAGCGACCAAGGAAGCAATGTGGAAGTTGTAATGTTTTTTATTATCTAACCTTGGAAGTTACATCATCACTTCCGTGATGTTCTGCTAGTCACACAAACCAGACTTGATCCAATATAAGAAGGAACTACATGAGGGCATAAATACAAGGAGGTAAGGGTCACTGGGTATTATCTCAGAGGCTGACTACCATAGTAAGAAATATGAAGGTTAACTTGAATTCTACCACTCTTATGAATTTTGAATTTGTTACTGATGTTCACTAAAAAGTGCTTTGCAAATTATGAGGTGAACATGGTGGAAAATAGAAATAGCATTTCACAAAAAGTCCTGATCAGTGTATGAATAACATCCTCTGCTTCGAAATATTATGAACATTGCATATCATCACATTAGATAAAGCATATACATAAGTATTGTCAAATCTGCTTCATAAGATTATAAACATCTTTTGCTTTTGGTGGGGCACGAGATCAGATAATTGCAAAGAAAAGATGGAGAAAAGGTAAAGACTGAAAAAGAAAATAACAAAGACCAGAGAAAGGAAAAAGAAGTAGAAAAAGAGAAGATAAAGGAAAGGGGATAAAAGGGACAAGACAAGACAAATCAGAGGTAGAAGAGCAGAGACACAGAAGATAAAAACATGCAAATAAAAGGCAAAAGAAATGTGAACCCAGAGGTGATCTGAACAAGAGAGAAGGAAAAGGAGAAATGATCGTGAGGGGGGGGAAAGAAAAAAAAAAGACAGAAAAAAAAATTAAGGTTTTCATTCCTTTACCAGTTTTTAGATCCTTTTCCACCTCAGAACAGGCTTGCAGCCTCTTATTTTCTGTGTTTCCCAAGCTCCTCTGGGAACTCCCCTTAATACCTGGTTCTCAGAACCCTGCTTTTCAGCTTGTTGCTCAGACTGGGTTGGGTAAGTTTCTGGGGAAGAGAGTAGGTTAGCCATTTTATTTATTGTCCAACTGTTCTTCTTAAGTACACACTCCCTTGTTAGGTAATATTTTTCTAGAAGTATTGAAAAAAGTAATTTCTTAGAAAAAAAATCAGACACAAACAAGTGATTTTCTGAGAGAATTTTAGTTCTGTAAAAAAGTATTACCATATTTGGATTTGGTTCCCTTTGTATATCTGGCAGATGAGTATAGTTCTTTTTGGATTTTTGATTCAGGGTTTACTTTAGTTCAGATTTCTGCTTCAAGTCATGTTTCTGTGGTTGAAATAAAATTCTGGCTAAAAAAGTACCTAGCTACTAGTTTTCATTAGCCAACATTTCTTTTTTTTTACGTGAGAACATTGCATAATCTGTGCTTCAATAATGATTAATTTGTAGACTTTAGAGAAGTTTGGATAAGCAATTTTTGTATGTGGAAATATTAAATGAGCAATATGATTATTTTTTTTACATTTTTAGTGTATTTTCTGCTAAGTTAACAAAGGCAAATTTAATCAAAGCAACTAATATAATATGCAACCTTCTTTTTAGACCATCTCCTGCCTCCCTCTCCCCAATCTGGGTTATTTTTTAAAAAGCTATTTAAAAATTTAAAAATTTCAACTAAGTAACACATTCACAAAGCTCAAATTCGTCTTTTTTTTTTTTTTTTGAGATCGAGTCTCAAAGTGCAATGGCATAATCTCAAACTCCACCTCCCAAGTTCAAGCGATTCTCCTGCCCCAACCTCTTGAGTAGCTGGAATTACAGGCGTGCGCCATTACGCCTGGCTAATTTTTGTATTTTCAGTAGAGATGGGATTTCACCATGTTGGCCAGGCTGGTCTTGAACGCCTGACTTCAAGGGATCCTCCTGCCTGGGCCTCCCAAAGTGCTGGGATTACAGTCATGAGCCACCGTGCAGGGCCTCAAATTCATTTTGATTGAGATTCACTGGACTTCTTTAATTTGTGATTGGTAACCTTCATCATTTGGGAAAACTTTTTTCTATTATCTCTTCAAATATTGTCGCATTCTCATGCTTTTTTCTTTCTGGAACTCTAATTAGAGGCATGCTTCTTTCTCAATCTGTCCTCCATGCCTTTTAACGTTTCTTTTATGTTTTACATCTCTTTGCCTCTCTGTGCTTCCTTCCAGACAAGTTCTTCTGGCCTATCCTCCATTTCAATATTTCTTTTTTCTCCAGCTATGCCTAATATGCCATTAAAACCATTCATTTAGTTTGTAATTGTAATAAATATAATTGTCAGTTATTGTGGTCCTATTTGATTCTTTACAAAAAACTGCTTCATCGTTTTGCAGTTTCTTATTATCTGCATTTATTTTCAAGCTTGGCTATTGAACGATCATAGTTGCTTTGTAATCTGTGTCTGATCATTCTAGTATCAGATTTTTTTTCAGTCCTCTTTCTACTTTCTGTTATTTTTGTTGCTTATTGCTGTAGTACTTTGTCTCTTTAATGACTGTGAGTATTTTCTTTGGAAAATTATTTGTGAGCATTCTTTGAGTCCCTGGATGATGTAAGTTCTTCCAGTGGGGGATTTGCTTTGGCTGTATGCCTGGAAACAGTACCAGTTCTTGACTTTTTCCTGGATCATTCAGTTTATATTAATTTGGACTATAAATCCTCATGAGGGCTAGCATGGCATTGCCACTTATTAGGGAACTTCTCCTTTACTCTCTTAAGTGTCTTTACTTATAGTCCCCTAGGGCAAGGGCTGTAGAGTTTATTTTTGATTCATCCTTCCACCAAGGGTTCATCCTTATACCAGTCCTCTGGGATCTGAGTATCCTATTAGGTTCCCCAAGCAGTTATGGGCTTTGTCTTCTATTCTCCCACATGTCCTGAGACCATGGAAATCAAGGCTGAGATTGGACAGGTTTGGCAAATGCCCTCAGTGTCTGGTTCCCTTCTGGGTTCCCATGTTCACTAAGATTTTGACTTAATAATTCCTTCTTGACACCCCTTTGATGCTTTTAAGGTTTTACTAATATTTTATTTTGTATTTTCAGCTGGAGGGTTATTCCAATTACCTAGCCTGCGCTATTACTAGAAATAAAAATCCTGGTACAAAATTTAACAGCTACAAAAGGTATACAGTGAAAGGTTTCCCTGTTATTCCTGCCTTTCTGTTCACCATATGATCATCTCAGTAGGTGCTAAAACCACATTTGATAAAATTGAAAACTCATTCACACATTCACCACACACACACATACACACACATGCGCACACACTCTCTCTCTCTCTCTGTCTTAGAAAATTAGGAATAGGAATAGAAAAGGAAACTTTAAAAAACCAATAATGGTTTAATGTCATACTTTGGTGTTGAAAATGTGGGGATATTCTTGCTTTTTACTTAGTCCAATTTCTTTATTTTTCGACATTGGACGAAATCCCAGAAAGGTAAATTGACATACCTAAAGACCGGTGGTCTACCCAGAAAAGCACAAGTTATTTTATTTATTTTTTAAGGTATTTTGTAAATGCTATTTTTAAAACTAATTTCAACTTTTATTTCAGATTCGGGGGTAGATGTGTAGGTTTGTTACATGGATATGTTTTGTGACACTGAGGTTTGGAGTATGAATGTGTGAATGACCCCATCACCCCGGCGGTAAGCATAGTACCCAACAGGGAGTTTTCAGTCCTTGTCCCTCTTCCTCTCTCCCCCACTGGTAGTCTCCAGTGTTTATTTTTCTCATCTTTACGTCCATACCTAATGCTTAGCTCCTGCTTATAAGTGAGAAAGAATGTGCAATATCTGGTTTTCTGTTCCTGCATTAATTCTCTTAAGATAATGGCCTCCAGTTGAATTCATGTTAAAGGACATGATTTAATTCTTTTTTCATGGCTGCAAGGTATTCCATGGTGCATATGTACCACATTGTCTTTATCCAATCCTCTGTTAATGGGCATCTAGGTTAATTCCATGTTTTGCCATTGTGAATAGTTCTGCAATGAACATATGAGTGCATGTGTTTTTTTGGCAGAACAATTTCTTTTCTTTTGGTTACATACCAAGTAGTGAGATTGCTGGGTCGAATCGTAGTTCAGTTTTAAGTTCTTTGAGAAATCTCAAAACTGCTTTCCACAGTGGTTGAACTAATTTATGTCCCCACGAACGTGGTCTTCGCTTTGTTGCCCAAGCTGATGGGGGTATTGTTATTAAAGTGTTCCCTTTCCTCTGCAGTGTTGCCAGCATCTGTTATTTTTTGACGTTTTAATAATAACCATTCTGACTGGAGTGAGGTGGTATTTCACTGTGGTTTTGGTTTACATTTCTCTGATTCTACTAATGTTGAACATTATTTCATGTTTGTTGGTCCCTTTTATGTCTTCTTTTGAGAAGTGCCCGTTCATGTCACGTGCCTACTTTTTAATGGAGTTATTTGTTTTTTGCTTGTTGAATTACATTCTTTATAGATTCTGGATAGTAAACCTTTGTCAGATGCATTGTGTGTGAATATTTTCTCCTATTCTGTAGGGTGTCTGTTACTCTGTTGATAGTTTCTTTTGCTGTGCAGAAGCTCTTTAGTTTAATTAGGTCCCACTTGTCAATTTTTGTTTTTGTTACAGTTGCTTTAGAGGATTTGGCCACAAATTCTTTGCCAAGAATTTTCTGTCTCCCTGTTATTTCTACCTTCCTGATCACCATATGATCATCTCAGTAGGTGCTGAAAGCACATTTGATAAAATTCAAATCTTTCACACACTTACCCATACACACAACCTCTCTTTCTTAGAAAACTAGAAATAAGAATAGAAAAGGAATTCAAACAACAGTCAGCTACAAGAGATAAGTCAGAAAATCTTGGCTGGGCACGGTGGCTCACACCTTTAATCCCAGCACTTTGGGAGGCCGAGGTGGGCCTCCTGAGGTCAGGACTTCGAGACCAGCCTGGCCAACATGGTGAAACCCTGTCTCTACTAAAAATACAAAATTAGCTGGGCATGGTGGCACATATCTGTAATCCCAGCTACTCGGGAGACTGAGGCGGGAGAATTGCCTGAACCCGGGAGGCGGAGGTTGCAGTGAGCCCAGCTCACACCATCACACTCCAGCCTGGACAAAAAGAGTGAAACTCCGTCTCAAAAAAGAAAAAAAGTCAGAAAGTCTTTATTTTGTTATCTTTTATTTTATTTTTTTTATTATTATATTTGAAAGAGACAGGGTCTCACTCTCTCACCCAGGCTGGAGGGCAGTGGCATGATCATAGTTCACTGCAGCCTTGAACTCCTGGGCTCAAGTGATCCTCCTACCTCAGCCTCTTGAGTATCTGGAAGATTACAAGTACATGCCACCATGCCTGGCTAATTTTAAAATTTTTTATAGAGATGGGGTCCTTCTTTGTTGCACAAGTGGGTGAGAGTATTCTTACTAAAGTAAGAGCAAGACCAACAGTCTTTTGTCACTATTTCTATTCAACATTGTACTGGCAGCTCTAGCAAATGCAGTAAGACAAAAAAAAAAAAAAAAAAAAAAAAAAAAAGAAAAAAGAAAAGAAAATAAAAAAAGAAGGGAAGAAAGAAAGAAAAAAATGGAAAAGAAATAAGACGTTGGAAAGATAAAACCTTTTTTTAATTTGTAAAAGATATGATTACTTATAGAGATTCTAAAGACCATCTATTAGAACCAATGAGAATTCAACAAGTTTGCTGGATACCATAGCATTTCTATACTGGTAATTAGTCTTTAGAAAATTAATGAAAAATATGTAATTCATAATAGCAACAAAACTGTATCTTCAAATAAATCTAACAAAATATCTGTAATACTTTATGGAGAAAATAGAACACTACTGAATGATGCTAAAGAAGTTCTAAATAAATGGAAATATGTACCATTTTCATGAAAAGGAAGATTCAATATGATAAAGATGTCAATTTCTCCAAATTGATTTATAATTTTGAGGCTTTTGTGGATCTTGTCAGACTGATTCTAAAATTCATTAGAAAGAACAAAAGCTATGCCAGTTTTGAAGAAGAGTCTGGGCTACTTTGTACTACCAGATACCAATGCTTATTATAAACCTAAGATTAAAATAATGCCATGTTGGTGTGAGGATATACATAAACCTATATGGAACAGAATAGAAATCCTGGAAAAGAACTGCATGCAGATATGAAGGTATAATATAGGACATTACAAATTAGTGAGAACAGGACAAACTATTTAAGACATTGTCATGAATCAGCTGGTTATTCACATCAAAAAGAAAATTCTTGTATCATACACTAAAGTTTTAATTCCAGGGATATTAAAGACATAAATATGAAAAACAAAGCTTTTAACATAGTAGGACATTTTAAGAGAAAACATAGGAGATATATTTTTAATCTTGGTATGGGGTGAATTTGTTAAGTAAAGCACTAAAAGGCATATACTATGAAAACAAAGATCAATAAAATAAAAACCCTCTGTTTATCAAAGACACTGTAATCAAAGTTGAAAGAAAAATTACAGAATGGGAGAAAGCATTTACATTACATGTAATTAATATGATATTTGTTTTCTAAATATATGAAGTAGTCCTCTAAATATAAAAGAAAAAGACAATCCAATAGCAAAATGAGTAAAGACATGAACAAGCTATTTACAGACAGGGCTAGTAGCTACTGTATTGGGCAGTGCAGCTCTAGAGGAAATCTATGTGCACAAGAAGTTCCATCATAGAACTACGTTTGGAAACACCTAAATGTCTGTCCACAGAAAAATGAACAAAAAAGTATAATATATTCATGAATTGAAATACTATGTCCCCATCAAAATAAATAAACTAGGGCTACATGTATCAATAATTATAAATATAAAAGCCAGGGGCCAGGCAAGTGGCTCACACTTGTAATTGCAGCACTTTGGGAGGCCAAGGGAGGCAGATCCCCTGAGGTCAGGAGTTTGAGACCAGCCTGGCCAACATGGTGAAACCTTGTCTCTACTAAAAATACAAAACTTAGCCAGGCATGGTGGCATGCGCCTGTAATTCTAGCTACTCGGGAGGCTGAGGCACAAGAATTGCTTGAACCCAGGAGGTAGAGGCTGCAGTGAGCCCAGATCAAACCACTGCACTCCAGCCTGGGCAACAGAGTGAGACTCTCTTCCAAAAAAAAAAAAAAAAAAAGCCAGGCATAGTGGTACATGCTTGTAGTCCCAGATACTCAGCAGACTGAGATGGGAGGATAACTTGATCCTGAAAGTTTGAGGCTGCAGTGAGCTATGATTGCACTGCTGTATTCCTGGGTGACACCTGGGTGACAGAGTGAGACTCTACCTCTAAATAAATAAACAAATAAATCCATAAACACAGATTTATAAAAATTATAAATATTTAAAATAATTTGAGCCCCAAAAAGCAAGCTGCATAATAATAATACAAGATAATGATTTATATACAGGTTGAAAAATACTATATAGTACTACATACTATTTTATGAGCTCTTCATATGCATTAATACTGTAAACAGCCATGGTAATGATAAATGTTTAATTCAGGATAGTGGTTATCCTTCAGTAGGGAGCAAAGGGAATGGTGTCTGTGAGAAGTATATACATATATAAGGAACTTTGGCTCTATCCATAGATTTTCATCCTCCCTCTAATGATGTAAATACAGCCAAATGTTAAGATTTAAAGAAGATCAATGGTGAATACACACATATTTAATTAATACTATATTAACAGCCTCTATTAAATATATAGAATAAATATAATATAAATATACTGCATATTGTACTTTTTTGTATGTTTGACACAATTTCATAAGAAATCATAGAATAGAACCCTGTAAGAGGATAGTTTAACATTAGGAAATATTTTATTGCAATTGATCATGTTAGTAAACTAACTTAATAAATTAGAGAAGAAATGTTTAAGAATATATGAGCAAGAAACGGGTATTGCTGAGACTAGCTTGGTCAGGGAGACCCTAACCCAGCAGTGCTAGAGGAATTAAAGACACACACACAGAAATATAGAGGTGTGAAGTGGGGAATCAGGGGTCTTATAGCCTTCAGAGCTGACAGCCCCAAACAGAGATTTAGCCATGTATTTATTAACAGCAAGCCAGTCATTAGCATTGTTTCTATAGATATCAAATTAACTAGAAGTATCCTTTATGGGAAATGAAGGGATGGGCCGAATTAAAGGAATAGGTTGGGCTAGTTAACTGCAGCAGGAGCATGTCCTTAAGGCACAGATCGCTCATGCTATTGTTTGTGGTTTAAGAATGCCCTTAAGCAGTTTTCCACCTTAGGTGGGCCAGGTATTCCTTGCCCTCATTCCGGTAAACCCTCAACCTTCCAGCGTGGGCATTGTGACCATCAGAACATGTCACAGTGCTGCAGAGATTTTGTTTATAGCCCGTTTTGGGGCCAGATTTTGGGGGGATTGTTCCCAACAGGGTATAATTTGTACAAAGAAAAACCACAAAACTAATTAAGGACACAATATAAGACCTGAATAAATGCAGAAACTACCATGTTTCAAGATAGGACAACCCATACTGTGAAATTATCAATCCTCTTCAAGGTAATAGGGGAACTGTATTGGGCCATTCTTGCACTGCTATCAAGAAATACCTGAGACTGGGTAATTTATAAGAAAAGAGGTTTATTTGGCTCAGGGTTCTACAGGTTGTATAGGAAGCATAGGGGCATCTGCTTCTGGGGAGGCCTCTGGAAGCTTCCAAACATGGTAGAAGGTGGAAGTGGGAGCTTGTATGTTGCATGGTGAAAGCAGGAGTGAAGGAGCAAGTAGTGAGGTGATACACACATTTAAATGACTAGATCTCACGAGAACTCACTAGCTCAAGGACAGTACCCTGGGTGATAGTACTAAACCATTCACAAGAAACTGTCCCTATGATCCAGTCACCTCCATCAAAGTCCACCTCCAACAGAAACTTAATGCCATTCTAATTGGAATGTCAATATTTTGTGTATTTCAAATTAAAGAGGGAAAGGGGAAGCAGGAAAATTGGTTCTCCACTGGGAAAAGAATAAAGCTGGTCTATCTTACCAATTTATAAAAATAAATTTTTAATAAAGAGCCAAATGTGGAAAATAAAATTATAAAACAATTAGAAGAACATGTGACAGAATACTTTAAAAATCCTGGACTGAGACTGGCCTTTCTAAGCATAATATTAAAACCTACGAGAAAAGATTGACAGATTTGACTGTACACAAATGAAAAACTTCAGCATGGTCAAAGACACAATAAAACAAAATAAAAGCAAAGAACAGGATGGAAGAAAATTACTGCAGATGAATGATTCCTATTAGTCCTGTTCAGTGAGCTCCTGCAAATTGCTAACACTTATTAGCCACTTTTCTATGTGCCTAGCACTAACAGAGTGCTTTTTAATTTTAAGCCATTAGAAATCCCACAACTTAAAATGTTCCCAACACATAGAAATCATAAATACTCAAGATAATGGAGACACTAAATACCCTGACTTGTTTATTACACATTCTATGCATGTGACAAAATATCACATGAACCCTAGAAATATGTACGAATATTATGTATCAATAAAAAATATCCTACAACATTATGAGGTAGCTACTATTGTTATTTTCCTAGGTGAGGAAATGGAAGCACAGAGAGGGTAACTAATTCCTCCAAACTCACTTGTTGACTTAAGTGACAGAGATGGGATTTAAATCTAGATCGACTTGCTCCAACATTTTGTTCTCCTACCTACTCTCCTGTTTATATAAAGCATTTAAAAAATAGAGGCACCCAGGCTGGGTGCAGTGGCTCACGCCTGTAATCCCAGCACTTTGGGAGGGCGAGGTGGGTGAATCATGAGGTCAGAAGTTTGAGATCAGCATGGCCAACATGGGGAAATCCCGTCTCTACTAAAAATACAAAAATTAGCCAGGCATGGTGTGTGTCTGTAATCCCAGCTACTTGGGAGGCTGAGGCAGGAGAATTGCTTGAACCAGGGAGGCAGAGGCTGCAGTGAGCCAAGATTGCGCCACTGCACTCCAGCCTGGGCAACAGAGCAAGACTCCGTCTCGGGAAAAAAAAAAAAATAGAGTAACACAACTGAAAAATAGGCAAAAAGAGGAAAGTAGAAAATTCATAGAAGAAGAAATACAGTGGCCTAGAAATGTGTGAGAAGATGCTAAACTTCACTAGTTACCAAAGTAATGCAAATTAAAACAACATGAACTGTCACTGTTGCCCTCAGGTTGGTAGAAAAGTTTTAAAGAAATTCTAATAAATAGATACAATTTAAATAAAAATTATAAGAAGAAGCAGGGAATGTGTCTTCTACTTTGTTGGTAGGAAATAAATTGCTATGACAGTTTAGGTGGGCAATTTGGCAGTATTAATCAGAATTACAAATTCACGTGCTTTAGATGAGGAATATACTTTTTGGAATCTAGTTAACTATATCCTAGTGATATACACATAGATGTGGTACAGCTCTACAGTAAAAAAGCAACTTAAACATTAGAAATATGCACACAGATGTGGTACAGCTATACAAATATATAACGTTTAAAATTCAAATTAAACATTAGAAATAATGGGGGTAGATCTATATATTCTGCTGTAAAAGATGTCCAAAGCAGAGCAGTGATTATTGTGTCTGGGTTAAAAAATTTAGGTTAAGAAATACAGACATCTGTGTCAAGAGCAAAACCCTGTGTATACTCTTGGGTGCCACATGCTTTTCTTGGAGTCTCTGTGGTTGCCTTCTAGAATGCCCCTGACTGCAAGTCTCACCTCCAAGTCTTTGTCCCTACAGGTAAGGGATTATTATTGAGATTCTCTGAGGTCTCCTGTGCTTATGTTGCCTTTGGACATAGGGTCCTTTCTTCAACTCAGATTAGTCTGCTTCATGTCCCGCAGAGTGTCTGTCTTTGATGTTGCTACTATGTGCTTATCACTTTGCCCTAGTTTCCATTGCCAGTGTAGGTTTGTTCATCTATATGTATTTTTATTCCCTTGGTCATTTCAATGAGCTTATGGGAGGGGCAGCTGGAAATGCATGTTCAAGTCACCATATTACCTGGAATAATTTTAATACCTCATTTTAGATAATTTCTTTTGCATTTTCTCTAATTACTTAGGGACATTTTTAGGAGTTTTAATGCCAAATAAGTAAACATTTGGAAGGGTGCATATTTGGGAATTTTGCCAGAACCAATTTTAAAAGCAAAGTTTTGATAGAAATGATAGACTATGGTAAAAATTAATGAAAACTTGTTTAAGAAACAGTTTATTTTGCATAGTTAGAATGGACTTTATCTGTACACTTAAGACTGTGCAATGGTTTTAACTGAATATATGTCTTTTACTGTACCTGAGGGTATAGTCTGTACTAGAGGAATAAAAGGATCCGACTGCGGTGCCAGTGAATGAAATAGGCCTGTTCCTTACAGAGCTGTGATGTACAGTGATTATCATTCAACAATGCCCACAGGAAGTGAGGATATCGAAATGGTCCCTATGAAGACAAGGGACATTACTCACTAACGGGTAGCATATCTATCAGCCTTGAAAATAATTAGAGATACTAAAATCATAACTGCATAAGCATATGGAGAGCTGTGCAGTTTAAAACACAAGTGCATATTTGTATATTTCATCAGAGTTTATAATGGCTTTCACATGTTTTTTCCTCATAGAATCCTCACAACAACCCAGGCAAAGTGGACAGTGTAATTTTATCCCTGTTGTGCAGATGAAGACACTATCGGTCAAAATGATTAAATGATTTAAGTAAGGTCACACATTCAGTTAGTAGAAATTCTCATATATAACATCTTTTAGATCATATCAGTTTATTAAAAAATGATTCATTCAGTAGCTATAGGGGCAAATCAATACACTGTGATATTTTATACTCCTGTTAACAGTGTATGAGAGTCAGAATTTCTTAGCACACTAAAAGCAAGGCAGTTCTATGAAGGCCTCCTTCACAAGCGATTGCCACGTCATCTGTGCTAATTTCCTGAAAACTTTGTTAATGGTCATTCATTAACAATCATTCCCATTTTATCTGAGGCTTTTCATTTCTGGCTTATCTTCATTATAATTTACATGTTTCCTTTAAAAATGTTTTCTAAAGCACAGCAAACCAGTAAACGTGCTAATAAAAACTAAAGCCGAGATTTAATTTCTTAGATAAAATTGAAACAGGCTGACAAACTCAGACTTGTGGGAAGATTGGAGAGACGGTTGCCTGGGAAATATTTAATGAGTCATTGTTTTTAAAACCTCCAGAGCCAGGAAGAAGGGGCTGATCAGCTGGGATGGGCTATCATATTCCTATTTCATATATTTCTAGAAACAGCACAGTTTTGTGCATGTGTTCAATGGTCCAAAATTAATAACTTCTGGTAAAATTGAGAGATGAGCTACGTTAGGTAAATTTGGTCCCCCTGACCTAGTCATAAACATTTATAAATAGGATGAAAAGTCTTCCTTTAGCCATTTCTTATACATATATGTTTATCTGTGCATATGCCTGTCTCCCTCACTGGCTAGTAGAGTTCTTTGAGCTAGAGAATGAGGGTTTTCATCTTTGTTTTACAGCTAGGACTTGAGAGAAATACCTGTAATGTAATAATGCAGATGAATACTTGATGCCTGGCTGGAAAAAGGACTTTTTGAGTATAATAGCGATGGAAGAATTCCCAAAGGAAATTATTGAAATATTTGAATTTATAAAAATAAAAAATATCTCTGCACTGCCCCCTTCCTCCATATAAGTCTAAGCCCATAAACCAACTTAAATGACAAAGCGAATAGGGGAAAATATATCCAGTAAACTTGACAGCAAGAGATTGAATACCTTTATTATGTAAAGAATTCATAAATATCAAGAAGAAAAATATAAAGAACCCAATAGTTAAATGGGCAAAGGACATAAATACATAATTCACCAAAGAGAAATAGAAGTGACTAATAAATATAAAAATGCCCACTTTTACTTTTA